>NC_000013.11:77650530-77802045 GCF_000001405.40 Homo sapiens
TTTATTTATAATAATAAACAACTGGAAGAAATCAAGTTGTCCTTCAATAAAGAAGTAGCTCAACATACTGTGGTATATCTATACAATGGAATAATATTCAGCAATGAAAAGGAATAAACTACTTAGTCTATAGAAATATGAATATATCTCAACTGCCTATTGCTAAGTGAATGAAGACTCCATACTCTATGATTTCATTTATATAAGTCTGAAAAAGACTCCATACTGTGTGATTTCATTTATATAACATTCTAGAAAAGGCAAAACCATAGAGACAGTAGACAGATCAATGGTTGCTAGGGATTCAGGGAAAGTGTGTGTGTTGGGGGTGGTGGTGCAGATGGAGAGTTGAATAAGTGAAGCACAGGGAGTTTCTTAGGGCAATAGAACTAATAGAGTATTCTGTGTGATACTCTAATAATGAATACATGACACTGTGTCTTCATCAAAACCCACAGAACTTTACAGTACAAAGAATGAACTCTAATAATAGACAAATTGAAAATATCATTTAGGAGGTCAGGGGCAGGGGATTTCAACATGAAATGCAGAATGTGACAAAAGAGTCTAATGATACAGTATCACTAAAAGGTAAGGGGGAAAAGGTCTTGACCTAAGTGACTTTGAAAATGAGTAAAGATTGTAAGACTGAAGGCAAAGCAACTGTATACTGACGTTGTACTCTAGTTGATAAAGTTCTTTCCCATGGGCATAAGGGTTAACAACTCTGAAACCACTATACATGTATCCTGGAATTGAACAGTTAAGTAAATGGATAGCAGATTGTGGGAGCCAGGCTTTTCACTGTTGCAATTGATGGTTATGGATAAGCAAGCAAAGGAGGCTAGAATGATCCATGCGGCAATGAAAAAGAGTTGGAATTATCAGTATGAACTCATGTTGGTTTAATACAGATGCAGATGGTTATATATAGACATTTGTAGGTATGTGTATATAAATATCTATATCAGTTACCATACATATATGTATTTCCTTGCTCTCTCAGATGAGAATGCCTAGAAGCCATGAAACTCCAGTGGCAGTGAGCATATCTTGCATTCAGGTCTTGATTTCTCATACCATCCCCCATAGAAGGAACCAGCACTCTGGCGATATGGCTGGTTCTTGGACTAGAGCAGGATGTACATAAGATAAACCTGGAGCATCTTATAGTGCCAGAAAATAAGGAAGAGCTCAAACACACACATATGCACACAAAATGATGTGAACATGTTAAAGGGACATAGAGAAGTCAACTGAAAGAGCTCCCAATGGCCAAACCTGGGAACAATTTGAGCAACAAAATAAATTATGTAGTATTGAATTATAACCCAAAGTATAAAATAAATATCCATGAGGCTATGATGGTGTAAGTAAATAATGGAATAAATAAATAAATGGAGAAGAAGACAGAAATCTCCCATGTGAAGAATTCCAAATAATTTATGTAGCTATCCCATTGTTAAGGAGATGGAACATAACTCTCCACTCCTAAAGTATGAGCTGTGCATAGTGACTTCCTTCCAAAGAGCACAGTATGGAAAGAAGGGGGAAAAGAGTAACTTTATGGTGGAGAAACCTGACAAACACTTCCTCAGCCAAGTGATCAGGATTAACATCAACAGTAATAAATCATATCACTGGCACATACCCTCAATATGATGTGTTAGAAGTGGCCCTATACCTCTGCATTCTTCTTCCTTGAAATGCATAACTCCAGTCTAATCATGAGATAAATATCCTTGAAACCCATAACTCTAGTCAAATCATGAGATAAACATCAGAAATACCTTAACTGAGGGCCCAGTACTCCTCAAAATTGTTAAGGTTATCAAAAACAAGAAAGTCTGAGAAACTGTCATAACCAAGAAGAGGCTAAGGAGATATGACAACTAAATGTAATATGGTATCCTGGATGGGATCCTGGAATGGAAAAAAAAGACATTAGGTAAAAACTAAGCGAATCTGAATAAAATACAGATTTTAGTTTATAATGGGTTTATCAATTATGACAGATGTACGATACTGATGTTGGATGTTAATAATACGGGAACCTGAGTGTGGGGTACACAAGACCTGTATACTATCTTCACAGTTTTTTTGTATGTCAAGAACTACTCTAAAATATAGTTTTTAAAATAAATCAAATTGAAAAATTAGTACGAAAACCTCTATGCCATTTCACTATTGCTAGGCATGTAAACATTTAGATATTGTATTAGGTAGAGTACAGGCTAAGCTTCTGTAACAATGAGATTCAGAAAGACAGTGGCTCCAAACACATAGAAATTTATTTTTCTCCCCACATAACAGTCCAGAATTAGGTTGTGGTCCAGGGAAGGCAAGCAGCTCTGTTTCTAGTTCATCCAGGGATGCAGGTTCCTTCTGTCTTATTGCTCCACCATCCCCTAGCAAGCTGCTTTCAATACCAGGTCAAAGCAGGCTCTCCAGCTCTGCTTCCCCTTTCCAGCATTCAGGCAAGGGGGAGTGGAAAGCAGCCATCTTCCTTTCTAAGGATGTGACACAAAAGTTGCACATGATTTCCACTCACATCTCATTTGACATACCTTGGGACACTTGACTAGGTGTAGTTGCACAAGAGAATGAAATGTAGTCTCTAGCTATGAGTTTCCATTACATTTAAGGAGTTTCTATTACTAAAGGAAGAAAGCAGAATGAATATTGGGAATAAAGAGCAATATCTGTTAAAAAAAAAAAAAAAAACTGTTTCTAGAGTTGCTTGTGCAAGTACCCAAGTCCACCTTTCTTCCTACACACATAACTCTCCTCAAGGAAGACATCTCTAAGTCCCATTCAATTACCCATCCAGCTAACAGGCTAGGAATTCTGGTTGACCCTTAGTGCCCTCTGTTAGGTGCTGATATGACTTCTTCCAGTCCAGAGACCTATAGACTGAAATATGAGTTATCTATCCTCCCAGGTGCCCAATACATGTCTGTGGAGTAGGAACAAGATAATCACAATGAGAACTCTCATTCAGAAAAGGGAAGGATGGAGATTAGCAGTCTGTGGTCTGTGTTAGCTAACAATTTTGCCAGGCAGTAATTATGAAAAGTTTCCTCTGGTATTAAGTTCCTGGGTTTGACCTGATTCTGCTGTCTGAGAGGGACGCCTTTGTCCGCTTGCCTCCATGGTCACACCTGAGGTGGACGTTGAAGAGTTTGGCCTCCTTGTGGCTGCACAGCTTTTATGACCTGCTTTCTACAGGTGTGGGTTTGGGGACAGAAAAGTTACTTCAGGGTGAGAGGAGGGAATGGCAAACTATCACAGCTTCTGTAAGTCTGGTTTATGTTTTATTTTTAAGCAGTACAATCTGCTCAAAAATGTAATAGACTTCTAGTCTATTTCCTTCTAGTCAGTTCCATATGAGGGAAACCTTAGCAAAGGCCTTAGGTGGTCATAGTTCTTCCATCTGCAGACTTTTCTCTTTTATTTGCTGGCTTCCATGCTTGGCTCATCCCTCTCTCCCTCAATTGAATGATCTTTGCAGGTGAGTTGATTCCCACTGTTTGAGGAAAAGCACTTAATGGAAGGCCCTGCATGAGTTTCTGAGGGACAGTGATATCTTTTGCTCTTTGTCATAAAGTTGTAGTTGGATTTCCTAGTTTATTAATCCATTCTTGCATTGGCATAAAGAAATACCTGAGACTGGGTAATTTATAAAGAAAAGAGGTTTGTCTCACAGTTCCATAGGCTGTACAGGAAGCATAATGCTGACATCTGCTCAGCTTCTGGGAAGGCCTTAGGAGACTTACAATTATGGAGGAAGGCAAAGGGGGAGTGAGGCAGCTCACATGGTGGGAGCAGGAGCAAGAAAGAGAAAGTGGGGAGGTACTACACACTTTTAAACAACCAGATCTCATGAGAACTCACTATGTTGAAGACAACACCAAGGGGGATGGTGCTAAACCATTCATGAGAAACTGCCCCCATGATCCAATCACCTCCCACCAGGCCCCACCTCCAACACTGGGAATTACATTTCAACATGAGATTTAGTGGGGGCACAGATCAAAACCATATCATCTAGCTTGGTTAAATCCTCAATCACTGGACTCCCAGTCTATCTATCTATCTATCTATCTATCTATCTATCTATCTATCTATCTATCTATCTGATAGATAATAGATGTACATATATTCAGGGTACATGTGATAATTTGATACATTCATATAACCTATAAAGATCAAATCAGGGTAACTGGGGTATTGACCATCTTGAATATTTATCTTTTGTATATGTGAGAAACATTTGGATTATTCTCTTCTAGCTTTTTGAAATGTACAAAGACTTATGATTGTTAATTATAGTCACCCTACTGATCTATTGAACACCAGGTCTTATTTCTTCTATCTAACTATATATTTGTACCCATTAAACAACCTCTCTTCATCCTCCCCTTCTGCCAACCCTTCCTGGCCTCTGGTAACCACCAAAATACTCTCTATCTTCATGAGAACCACTTTTTTTAGCTCCCAATTATGAGTGAGAGCATGTGATATTTGTCTTTCTATGCTTGGCTTATCTCACTTAACATAATGACCTCCAGGTCCATTCATGTTGTTGCAAGTGACAAGATCTGATTCTTTTTTATATCTAATATCATATATATGTATATATACATATATATATATAATTTTCTTCATTCATTCATTGACAGGCTTTTAGGTTTATTCTATATTTTGGCTACTTTGAATAGTGCTGCAGTAAACATGATAGTGCAGATATCTCTTCAATATGTTGATTTCCTTTCTTTTGGCTATCTACCCAATAATGGAATTGCTGAATTATATAGTAGTTCTATTTTTAAATTTTTAAGGGACCTCCATACTGTTTCCTAGAGCGGCTGTACTAATTTACATTCCCATCAACAGTGTAGGAGGGTTCCTTCCCCTTTCTCCACATCCGCAGCAGAATCAACTGGTCCCTGTCTTTTTTATAAAAGCCACTTTAACTGGGATGAGATGATACCACGTTGTAGTTTTAATTTGCATTTCTCTGAAGATTAGTGATGTACATTTTTTCATATACCTATTGGACATTTGTATGTCTTTTTCTGAAAAATGGTCAGATCTTTAGTCCATTATTAAGTCAGATTATTAGATTTTTCCTGTTTGAGCTCCTTATATAGTCTAGTTATTAATCTCTTGTCAGCTGGATAGTTTGCAAATACTTTATCCCATTCTGTGGGTTGTCTCTTCACTTTGTTCTCTTTCCTTTGCTGTACAGAAGCTTTTTAGCTTGGTGTACTCCCATTTATCTAAGTATGCTTATGTCACCTGTGCTTTTGAGGTCTTATACAAAAAATGTTTGCCCCAACCGATGTTACAGATAATTTCCCGAATGTTTTCTTCTAGTAATCTCATAATTTCATGTCTTAGATTTAAGTCTTTAATCTATTTTTATTTGATTTTGTATATGGTGAGAGATAGGTTTCTGGTTTCATTCTTCCTCATATGGATATTCAGTTTTCCCAGCACGATTTATTGAAGAGACTGTTCTTTCCCATTGTTCTTGGTGCCTTTGTTGAAAATGAATTAGCTGTAAATGTATGGATTTATAGCTGGGTTCTCTGTTCTGTTCCATTGGTCTAGATGCCTGTTTATATGCCAGTACCATGTTGATTTGGTTATTATAGCTTTGTAATATATTTTGAAGTCAGGAAGTGTGATGCCTACAGCTTTGTTCCTTTTCCTCAGGATTGCTTTGGCTATTCCTGGGTTACTTGGGGTATTTTGTGGTTCCATATAAATTTTAGGATTTTTTTTCTATTTCTGTGAATAATGTCCTTGGTAATTTGATTGGGATTGCATTGAATCTGTAAATTGTTTTGAGTAATATTGATATACAAATTTAGCAGTATTAATTCTTCTAATCCCTGATCATGGAATAGCTTTCCAAATTTTGTGTCCTCTTCAATTCCTTTTACCAAAGTTTTATAGTTTTCCTTGTAGAGATCTTTCACTTCTTTGGTTAATTCCTAGGTATTTTACATTCTTTGTCATTATTGTAATTGGAATTATTTTCCTGATTTCTTTTTCATATTGTTTGCTCTTGGTGTATATAAATGTCACTGATTTTTTGTATGTTGATTTTGCATCCTGCAACTTTACTGAATTCATTTATCGGTTCTACCCACTTTTTGGCTAAGTCATTAGGATTTTTAAAATATAAATCTTGTAATCTGTGAACAAGGCTAATTTGACTTCTTCCTTTTCAATTTGGATGCCCTTTCTTTCTTTTCTTTTCTTTTTTTCTTTTTTTTTTTTTTGCCTAATTGCTCTGTCCAGGACTTCTAGTACTATGCTGAATAAAAGTGGTAAAAGTGGGCATCTTTTTCTTGTTCTAGATCTTAGAGAAAAGGCTTTTAATTTTTTTCCCATTCAATATAATGTTTGCTGTGGGCTGATAAGAGATATATTGAGATATCTTCCCTTCTATAACCAGTTTTTTAGGATGTTGATCATAAAGGGATATTGAATTTTATGAAATGTTTTTTAGAATCTATTGAAATAATATGGTTTTAGATATAGATATAGTCTATTCTGGAGAATGTTCCATGTGCTGATGAAAAGAATGTGTATTCTATGACATTTGACTGAAATGCTCTGTAAATGTCAATTTTGATTACAGGTCTCAGGGCTGAACTGCAACATGTAGGCATCTGTGCTTGCAAACTGACTAAATTCTGCTTTACTTCATCTCTCTCATGGTAAATGCAGTGTCTTTGTCCATTTGAGCTGTGATAGCAAAATACAATAAACTGGGTAGCTTATCAACAGCAAAACATTATTTCTCACAGTTTTGAAAGCTGCGAAGTCTAAGATCAAGGTGCCGGCAGATTTGGTTTCTGCTGCCGTCCTACTTTCTGGTTCAGAGATGGAACCTTCTTGCTGTGCCTTCAAATGGTAGAAAAACAAAGAAGCCCTCTGCGGCCTCTTTTATGAGGGCACCATCTCATTCATGAGGGCTCCACCTTCATGATCTAATTACCTCCCAAAGGCCCCACCTCTGAATATCATCACACTGGAGAATAGGTTTTCAACATATGAACTTTGGAAGGATACAAACATTTGAGCCATAGCGTTCAGTAAGAAACAGTTAAAATATACGAATATTCTAGGTTTTCCCAATCTCTTTTTCTAGCATGGGCCTCGTAGGTAACTAAGGCAAGTGAGACCTTTGTCAAATATTTTGCCATGGCATAAGAAGAGTCAAGAAACTTTTAGTTTCAACATTTATTTCTTCATTCCTATTACAAAAACAATTAACTAATAGCATGTGTTTTAGGCTCCTGTTTGATAGCACCTGATTCCTAGTACCAATCTCTATATAAATTAGGGCAGAGCTAAGTGACGTAGCAAAAACCTCTAAAATACAGTGGCTCAAACAAGATAGAATTTTTAAAAAATATATATTTCTCACTTGAAAACAAAAGTAGGCTCTGCCCAGGAAAGTGTCCCAAGCATATGTTGCACTGCCGTCCGCTAGTATCTCATGATCAAAGCCGAAGGCCGAGTGCGGTGGCACACGCCTGTAATCCCAGCACTTTGGGAGGCTAAGGCGGGAAGGCTGCTTGAAGCCAGGAGTTGAAGACCAGCCTGGACAACACAGCAAAACCTCATCTCTACAAAAAATACAAAAATTAGTGGGGCATGGTGGTACATGCCTGTAGTCCCAGCTACTTGGCAGGCTGAGGTGGGAGGATCACTTGAACTCAAGAGTCAGAGGTTGTGGTGAGACAAGATCGCACCACTGCACTGTAGCCTGGGCAACAGAGTGAGACCCTGTCTCAAAAAAGGAAACAAAACAAAACAAAATAACCCTGGCTCACCAGCTCTATAATTGCCCCAATGAGAAGAGAAAAAGAATGGATGTGATGAAGAAGCTACTCTATTCCTTTCACTCATATCCAATTGGCCATTTATATCCCATTTCACACCTAACTCCAAGGGAGGTTGTGAAATGTAGCTTCTAGCTACATGCCTGCTAAAATGAGGGCCTTATAACTAAAGAAAGACTACGGGAGCTGGTAAAAGTCTCAGCTATAGATTCCTGTGAGCCAGGGCCTCTGACCTGGCCCCTGTGATAGCTCATCAGCCAGTGGTAGCCCATAGCCTCCTGCGAAACATCTCTTTGCATACAAAGGTACTGTGATTCGATCTCCCCAACGATTTTTAATAATATCTTTTCCTGTTGAACAAAGGATTTAAGATCTGTGTGGTGATTTTAGTATGATTCTGGCCTGATGTCCTCAATTTACAGGATCTGAAGATGAAGAGAGTTGGGGACGTGACTCTCCCAGGTAAACAGCCACATTTAGCAGACAGGACATTCCAAGGACTTAGAAGTTATCTCCCAGGGCTCTAGGGCAAGGCCAAACTCTGATTGCTTCCATGAGATAGCCAGTTTGTTAGTGGCAAAGCTAAGATTGGAACCCAGCATGCTGAAATTTCTTTCACTATATATGGGGTTTTAAAATGAATATGATAATCTAAAAATTATCCCACTAGAATGGAATACAGTGACACACTTAGCCTTATATGCCATTCTCTTATTTGGATAATGCAGTATTTTATTAATTTTTAGAATTACAGTGACACGCTGCTAACTCCTACTTAACTTGTGGTTTTTACTTGTCTGGATCGATTTTATGCCATACATTTGCAAAGTAAGTTCTGTCCTAGCATGCATTTGTATAGATTTCTTCTTTCGTGAGTTACTTCTTGTACTCTGCATGTGTCACTTTTGAATTAGTTAAATTTGTAGTCCTCTTGGAGCCTGTTTAATATGAGATGCTTTAACACATCAAACCCGAGGACATGCTTGTGACCCGCCTTCTGGAAGGAAGTGGCTAACTCTGGTGACCGCCATGGAGCAGTGGGTTCTGGTGGAGATGGTACAGGCGCTTTACGAGGCTCCTGATTACCATCTTATTTTGGAAGGGATTCTGATACTCTGGATAATCAGACTTCTTTTCTCTAAGACTTACAAATTACAAGAACGATCTGATCTTACAGTCAAGGAAAAAGAAGAACTCATTGAAGAGTGGCAACCAGAACCTCTTGTTCCTCCTGTCCCAAAAGACCATCCTGCTCTCAACTATAACATTGTTTTAGGACGGAGTCTTGCTCTGTCACCAGGCTGGAGTGCAGTGGTGCGATCTTGGCTCACTGCAACCTCCATCTCCCGGGTTCAAGCCATTCTCCTGCCTCAGCCTCCCGAGTAGCTGGGACTACAGGCACAAGCCACCATGCCTGCCTAATTTTTGTATTTTCAGTAGAGATGGAGTTTCACCATGTTGGCCAGAATGATCTCGATCTCCTTTTTTTTAATTAAAAAGTAAACTTTAATGTCAAAAATGCAAACTTGGGGAGGGCAGAAAGATCACACACAAGGCTGTCATTTCACACTTGGAAGGTTGCACAGCAGCCGGGCAGAGACGCTCCTCACTTCCCAGATGGTGAGGGGGCCAGGCAGAGGCGCTCCTCACTTCCCAGGTGGTGGGGGGGCTGGGCAGAGGCGCTCCTCCCTTACAAACGGTGAGGGGGCCGGGCAGAGGTGCTCCTCACTTTCCAGACAGGGCGGCGGCTGGGCAGGGGCGCTCCTCACTTCCCAGGCGGTGCGGGGGATGGGCAGAGGCGCTCCTCCCTTACAAACCGTGAGGGGGCCGGGCAGAGGCACTCCTCACTTCGTACATAGGGCGGCGGCTGGGCAGAGGCCCTCCTCACTTCGCAGACAGGATGGTGGCAAGGCAGAGGCGCTTCTCATTTCCCAGACGGTGAGGGGGCCGGGCAGAGGCACTCCTCACTTCGCAGACAGGATGGAGGCGAGGCAGAGGCGCTTCTCATTTCCCAGACGGTGAGGGGGCCGGGCAGAGGCACTTCTCACTTCGTAGACATGGCTGCGGCTGGGCAGAGGCCCTCCTCACTTCGCAGACAGGACGGCGGCGAGGCAGAGGCGCTCCTCATTTCCCAGACGGTGAGGGGGCCGGGCAGAGGCACTTCTCACTTCGTAGACATGGCTGCGGCTGGGCAGAGGCCCTCCTCACTTCGCAGACAGGACGGCGGCGAGGCAGAGGCGCTCCTCATTTCCCAGACAGTGAGGGGGCCGGGCAGAGGCACTTCTCACTTCGTAGACATGGCTGCGGCTGGGCAGAGGCACTCCTCACTTCGCAGACAGGACGGCGGCAAGGCAGAGACGCTCCTTACTTCCCAGATGGGGCAGCGGCTGGGCAGAGGTGCTCTTCACTTCCCATACCATGAGGTGGCCAGGCAGAGGTGTTCGTCACTTCCCAGATTGGGTGGAGGCCGGGCAGAGGCAGTGCTCCTCCTCAATTCCCAGATGGTTGGCGGCTGGGCAGAGGTGCTCCTCACTTCCCAGACAGGGCAGTGGCCAGGCAGAAGTGCTCCTCACTTCCCACGGTGTAAGGGGGCCAGGCAGAGGCACTCCTCGCTTCGCAGACAGGACGGCAGCCGGGCAGAGGCACTCCTCACTTCCCAGACAGGGCGGCAGCCTGGCAGAGGCACTCCTCACTGCCCAGACGGGGCAGGGCCCAGGCAGAGGCGCCCCTCACTTCCCAGACTGTGAGGCGGCTGGGCAGAGGTGCTCGTCACTTCCCAGATAGGGTGGGGGCCCGGCAGAGGCACTCCTCACTGCCCAGACGGTGTGGTGGCCAGGCAGAGGCGCTCCTCACTTCCCAGACGGTGGGGCAGCTGGGCAGAGGCGCTCCTCACTTCCCAGATGGTGCAGGCAGAGATGCTCCTCAGGTCTCAGTCTCTTGACCTCCTGATCCGCCCACCTGGACCTCCCAAAGTGCTGGATTACAGGCGTGAGCCACCACACCTGCCCTGCCGTCTCTTCTTTCTCCTCCTAAGCAGCTGTCTTAGTCTCCTGAATTTTGATGTTCTACTTAACACCCTCATGTTCTTATGCATGTTGCCCTGCTGGAGGTGTCCTTCTCTTTGGGAAGCCTGACCCACCAACAGTGCCTCAGGAGATAGACATGGAAGCTTAGCTGGTGGGGGCCCCTCGTCTCTATCCCACCTCAGTTGCAGGGGAGGGGTCGGTTGCAGCTGCAGTGGTGGCCCCGACAGTTTTCTTTTGTGGGACCTGTGGCCGGCAGCTTTGGGTGGAGAAGACCTACTTGATCCAAGAGCTGCAGGATCCTTGGGCTGCATGTCCTCCCCCACCATCAGCAAGCCTGGAGAGCTGGGCAGGTAGTCTTTACCCAGCACCTTCAAGGCCGCCTTCTCTGGCCACAGGGAGCAGCCCGGAACTGGGGCAGGGAGCACTGTTGGAAGTGAGTCAGGCCTCCCAAAGGGAAGGATGCCTCCAGCAGGGCTGTGTGAACTGGCGACTCCATGGCCCTTGGAGTAGAAACTCACTGCATGCACCTGGGCCTTGTCAGTCTGGTTCTTTTCTGTCAAGCTCTTGAGGTGGACATTTCCCTCCAAGGGCCTGGGATTGTACCAGGAGGAAGTGAGGTTTCCCTGAGTCTCCAGGGGCCTAGAGGTGGAGGCTGCTTCCCCATTGCTACAGGGGCCCCTTTTATTGTCCTCCTGCTCCTGGGTCTCTACCTGGTCTTTCACCTCCGTTGCTTCTTTGGGCTCTTCTGCCCTCACCTCCGTCTTCGGGAGCCTGGCTGGGATCACCTGCTCATCTAATGAAGGAAGTTGAAGGTTAAACTTGCCTCTGAGATGAGGGATCCTCATGGGGCTGAGGTGTCCAAACATCATGGAGTTGCGAGCAGACAGCACGGGTTTCTTCCTTGAGGGGGTGCTCCAGACCACAGGAGGCAGGACCCTCTGTGGGGTGCCCGTGTTCCGAGGGATAAGACACAGCCTCATAGGGTCGCTGTCCCACCTGACTGGAAAAGAAGGCCCAAGATGTCGCTGACGGTTGAAGAGGAGTGGGAAACGGCCCCAGATTCCCGGCGCAGGCACACGTGCAGGAGCCGTGGGGGCAGCCCGGCCAGCTGGGAAGGCCTCACGGACAAGACGAGCAGGTTGCTGATGGCATGGCCAGAACCTGCAGTGGGACCAGGAACAAAATACACTTAGTGAGTTGCCCATTTTGAGCGAGTTGTGCACAGACGAAACTAAGGGTCAGAAGTGGAGAGGATACTCCTAAGTCACCCACTTCTCTGTGGCCGGGTGCACACTGGGCATCTGGGAGTTTATGACATCACCATGGGGCTGGTGACAGAGCCAGGGTGTGGAGGAGTGCTTAGGAGCCCAGTGAGGGTGCCTACAAGAGGAGTCAAAGGGCAAAGGGTGAGACCCTTCCACCGGTCCAGCTGGACTCTAGCCTCAGGGACGTCCTGCTCCTGGGGGCAGGTGTGTGGCCCTGGATGGGCCCCCCTGTGGGGCTGTTGGGGGTGCGGGGCTGATCTGCCAGAGCCCTTCTGCCTGGCGCCTGGCCCAGGTGCTGGCTGGCACCCAGTGGCCCTGTCTTGGCCAGCCCTGTCCCCCGGGTTACAGGGCCAGAACCTGGAAGCAGAGCGCAGGACCAGCCAGATCCCGCCAGGCTCCCCCGGGGCCTCTCCAGTGCCTCTGTGCCACCTGGAGCCAGGCCCGCCTTCTCCATGGCTGCCGTGGCCTCAAGGGCCACCAGCCTCGCTCCGCAGGTTTCCAAAGAGAGGACGCGGTGCCCTGACCTGACTGGGTGCGCCTCTTACCACATGCCTCCCTGGCAGGCAAGGTCTCCACTTTTTACAAATTTGCCTGAGACCATTCCTCAGGTCATTCAGGTGGTCATGGCCCAGCCAGGCTTTGAACCCGGGCTGTGCAATTCCACAGCTGGCGCTCTGGCCTGTGTGCCTCATGATCATGGATACAGCATCTATTCTTATTTTTTCCTGTAGTCCTGGGGGTACTTAGCACCGTGGCATATCTGTAATAAGCACATGCACACCTTGAAGGAGGTCTTCACTTCAACATACAAGTTGACCATGGCATGCTCTGGGCTCCAGTCCTCTACAAAGATGTAGGGCAGGAACTACCAGTTGTCAGCACAGCACCATCCCACATTGCTCTTCTAATGGAGCCTTTCACCCCAGATGTTCTTTCTCGTCTGATGGGAAGGATCCAAGTATGTAAAGATTATGTTCTAGATCAGCTTTGGTCTGTCCTAAAAGAAATTTGCCAGTGGATTATTCCATATGGATAAAAGTCAGTTTCTCTGGTCTTCCTGGAATGTGTCTAGAAAGCAAACACATTATTTACAAGTTCATAGTAGATCAATGTATTGGATTAAAATATGACAAACATAATTTGGTCATTGTGAGCATGCCAGCTCGGTCAACTATTCACCACACATGATGCCCTAAATATAACTCTAGGTTTTCTTATGCCCAAGAGAGGGACATACTCTTGGGTGTCTGGACTAGGGAAACATGTATGAAAAACCATTTGGCCACTCTACATCTTGTTATTGGAGAATCGAAACCATCTATATTCAAAGATATTATTAAAAGGCAAGAAGTTAACTTCAAAATAAATAAATAAATAAAAATAAATAAAACATCAAACCCTGGGACTAAATAACAATTTTACTAAAGTTAATATGCATTATACCCATTCTACACATACTTTTAATTTACTATATCACTACTGTAAATAATACATTAAATCATCATTTACTCCTTTAGAAGTTATATCATTTTCCATATTTTGCTATTTTGACTATGTATTCTAATATTTTCTCTGGAAGTATAGCTTGTTGGTCTACAATTCTAGACTTGTTCTCCTCTAAATGTGGCTCCCCTTTTCACTTTTAGGCTTTTCCATAAATACTTTTATCTTACATTTGTGTGTAGAACTATATTCTCAATGCACTTCTGCAAAGTTTGTGGGTCCCCAAGACCATCCTCATTTCTAACGTCAACTTCCGAGTTCTGGGGTCTCTAAGACCACCTTCAGTTCTGACACAGCTATCAGTTTGGGAGGTCCCCCAAGAAAACTCAGAGAAGCTGTTATATTCACAGTTTATTATAGGCAAAGGATACAGGTTAACATAAGCCAAGGGAAGAGGAGCACAGGGCAGTGTTCAGGAGACGTTAATGTTGAGCTTCAGTTGTTCTCTTCAGTGGGGTTGTGTGGACAGCACCTATTTCTCCCAGCAATGATGTGTGACAATATGCACTGCATAGGGGCAACCAGGGAAACTCATCCAAACCTTGGTGTCCAGAGTTTTTACTAGAATTTTGTCTTGTGGACATGGTTGACCACTTGCATGGCTGACCTTAGTCTCCAGCCTCTCCAGAGGTACTGATACTGTATGATCCAAAGGCCCCACTGTAAATCATATTGTTAGCATAAAATATCTGCCATGGTCCAAATCTGCCAGGTAAACAAACACGCACTTAGCAAGTAGGACATTCCAAGGCCTTAGAAGTTATCTCCCAGGACTCTAGGCCAAGGCCAAACCTCTCTTTGAGCAATGTTAATATTCTTCTACACGACTTTCATATCAATAATGTAAGCCTTGTAAATCCAGACATTCTCAGGGTTCAGTCCCATAACACTGCTATAGTCAAGAAGGGTAGTTTGACTCCTGAAACATAATTAAAAAGAATTCCATCTTTTATAAGATACCTCTCAAAGGATGCTCAAGGGGATTCAAATACATACTCGACATCTTATTAAAATCCCCTTTCCTTTTCTACTTCTCTTATCTTCAACCCCACCACCCTACCCCCACAGGCCCCTGGCCTTCTCTTCTTTTTCTCTTCACATTATTTAGTAGATTGGTTTAGGCTTAAATTTAGCACAAAATTATATTTATCCTTTAAGAGGTGAGAGGAGGGGGGGAATTGGGCTCGTCAATGCAGACTTTCTCTGATGGGTAGGAAAAGGGGGAAAATCAAAGGTACACCCATATTAATAATGTGTTGACATCATTGTAATTCTACTCACTGGGCACCAACTGTGTTTCAGGCACTTTACATACGTGTGTTTCTGGTTCTAATATCCCACATTTTTAGAGACGTTACAACCTGAGAAAATTTTTAACAATCATTAAGTGAAAGCAGAATTGTTCAAGAAATGCTAGAGGAATATACTGATGAAGTGCCTAATTCCATGATATTTTAACATGGTAAAGGAAATATATACCACACAGGAAGAAAAATGAAAATGTATAAAGATCAAAATATTTAGCCTTAAAAATTCTTTTTTTCTTTATTTGTTATTTTTTTATTCTCATGGTTTTCTTCAATACTGCATGGTTAATGTAGGAGAAAAAAGGGAAAAATCTAAAGGTTCTACTAAATTTTAACAAACATAAAATTCTTAAATGGAGGCATATGGATATATATATATATATATATATATATATCTTTTTCATAAGGTATTGAGACTTCTGTCAATTCTAATATATGTGGAGATGCTTGAATTCATTATAAACGTTTCTCTTTTTTTTAAGACAGGTTCTCATTCTGTCACCCAGGCTGGAATGCAGTAGCTTCATCTTGGCTCACTGCAGTCCTGACCTCCAGGGCTCAAGGGATCCTCCCGCTTCATCCCCCAAGCAGCTGGGACTACAGGTGTGCACCACCATGCTTGGTTAATTTTTGTATTTTTTTTTTTTAAGAGATGGGGTTTTCCCCATGTTGATCAGGCTGATCTTGGATTCCTGAGCTCAAGCAATCTGCCTGCCTTAGCCTCCCAAAGTGCCGGGATTACAGGTGTGGGCCACCATGCCAGGCCACTATGAACTTTTAACACATTTTGTTTAGTAGAGAAAAATGAGACAGAAAGAAACTTATTCAATGATCTTTATGCCTTAACAGGTCACCAATTGACTTTCTAAGCTGTTCATATAGATGCTTCAAGTGAATTAAACCCAAATTTGAAATGCACTTTATAATTTATTCTCTGGCTAAAGAAAACAACAAACCTTCATTTCCCACCTCCATCACCCTCCACTCTCCTATCCCTATCCTACTGTCACTTAGCTGCAATCTCAGGAGACTGATGCAATGGCAGTTAATATATATGTTTACCATAGTATACTTACTATCTGTATGTTTTTAGAACAGGGCACAAATATCACCAATATATCTCTTAAATTAGCTTTATTTCCTTAATCTCCTCAAATATCCAGGTAGTGCTCACATTTCACAATTCATTCATGCTATAAATGTTTTCTCCTTATTTAAGCTTATTTGAATTATGATTTAATCACTACACATTGTTGATATGTCCTCTCTTTTAGTATATAGGTTCCTCCTCTGTCTCTTTTTTTTTCCTCTTGCAATTCTGTTGTTGTTGCAGAAGAAGGAGGATGAGAGGAGGAGAGGAGAAGGAGGAAGAGAAGGAGGAGGAGCAGAAGGAAGTTGGATCACTTGTCTTACAGAGCTTTTGCTGATGGTATTTTTTGTTTTGTTTTACACATGTTTCTCAGTCCCTGTATTTCCATGTCTTGAGATGTGATCAAATTCAGGTTTTGTGTTGGTGGTGGTGGTGTGTGTGTGAAGACTACTTAATCAGTGATATTGGGTACTTTCATTGGAGGTGCATAATATCTACCGTCATTTTGTGAGATTAGCAATTCATTAGACATTGCTAAATGTGCTGTTTTCATTTTATTTTTCCCTTTTCATTTATTAGCCAAAATACATCTATGAAAATATACTTTCTTTCAAAATAATTAGGTTATCTTAAATTTTTATAGAAAAGGTAGAATAAGAGCTTTATCCTTCATCAGTTTTCAAAGTCGTAAGTCAAAACTTTAGTATTCTCCAAAGGTGATTTATGTATTTAAGTATCATTTTGAACTATGGACTTAAATATATTTTGTGTTTCTATCCATGACAGCTATTGTTCTTATTGATATTGAAATGGCCCCATCTCTGGACAGTTGGGAGCTTATTCAAGCTGGCTCCTCTGTCCTTTTGACATAGTTCTACTAGTTTTTGATAATAATTTTCAGGCTCATCTAGTAAATTTTCTACCTTAGATCTCTAATAAGCGTCTTTTTTTTTTTCAAGAACACTGTTCTTTTAGTGGAATAGTTAAAGGACCACAATCTAACCACCACGGTTACTCACTACAATTGGGTTGATCAATATCTCTAGGCCGTTTCAGTGGATAATACTAAAAATAATTTTTTTATTAAAAAAGATAAATGACCTTACACTGATATTCCAATTCAGTTTATTTCAGGACTCTAAGGTCAAACTCATTGATCTTAGTGGATATCTGTTTTTTTCCATGCTATTAATACCAGTTGTCAATGACACAAACATAATGCTCATTTGCTTTATTCCACAGTGCACACATCAGCACATCAAAGCAACCACACCAACCCCACTATCACCAATATATTTCTGTACAAGTCAAAACCACAATGAGATACCATTCATACCAGTTGGAATAGCTATTATTAAAAAGTCAAAAAATAACAGATACCGGTAAGGTTGTGGAGAAAAAGGAATGCTTAGACACTGTTGGTGGGAGTATAAATTAATTCAACCATTGTGGAAGACAATGTGCTGATTCCTCGAAGACCTAAAGACACAAATACTGTTCTACCCAGCAATCCCACTACTGGGTATATATCCCCCAAAATAGAAATTGTTCTATTATAAAGACATGCAAAAATTCAGTAGGGCATCATGGCAGTGGGAAGCAGGACTAGATTGCAGCTCCGACTCAGATGGACAGAGCAGCATGTGAAGGCTCGCATTGTGAATTTTAGCTCCAGAATGACCGCAAAAACAAACCAGGAACCCCAAAGGAGCCACAGACACTCTGAAGGAAGCAGATTGCTCCTGCAGGACCCAGGAGACACCTCAAATACTGTGAGTGCCCAAACTGCGGAAGTGGGAAAGGGAAATCCTCTGCTCCAAACACACACCCCCAACTGGGGAAACTGATGGTCTAGTTTGCAGGTGAAGCTTTTGACCTTACCTGGAGCTGAGTCAAGTTAGAGAGTCGAGTGAAATACAGGGGTAGGGGAAGCAGCGGGAAAGGCCCTGGGAGCTTGTTGCAGCTGCAGCAAGACCCACCCAACAAAGGTCTGAGATCAGACAGCCTAGTTCTGCCCCCACCTGATGGTCCCGCTCTATCCACCCTGATAGCTGAAGACAAAGGGCATACAATCTTGAGGGTTCTGGGGCCCCACCCATGGCCGGCTCCTCTCCATACTACCACAGCTGATGTTCTCTGGAAAGTGCCACCTCCCCACAGGAGACCAACCAGCACAAAAATAGAACGTTAAACCACCAAAGCTAAGAACCCTCACAGAGTCCATTTCACCCCCACCACCTCCACCGGAACAGGTGTTGGTATCCATGGCTGTGAGACCCACAGGTGGTTCACATCACAGGACTCTGTGCAGACAACCCCCAGTACCAGCCCAGAGCCAGGTGGACTTGCTGGATGGCTAGACCCAGAAGAGAGACAACAATCACTGCAGCTTGGCTCACAGGAAGCCACATCCACAGGAAAAGGGGGAGAGTACTACATCAAGGGAACACCCTGCAGGACAAAAGAATCTGAACAACATCCTTCAGCCCTAGACTTTCCCTCGGACAGAGCCTACCCAAATGAGAAGGAACCAGAAAACCAACTCTGGTAATATGACA
The DNA here is from genome assembly GCF_000001405.40 of Homo sapiens. Lineage (NCBI taxonomy): Eukaryota > Metazoa > Chordata > Mammalia > Primates > Hominidae > Homo > Homo sapiens. The sequence continues at coordinate 77,669,145 of NC_000013.11, forward strand.
AAACAAGGCTCTTTAACACCCCCCAAAAATCACACTAGCTCACCAGCAATGGATCCAAACCAAGAAGAAATCCCTGATTTACCTGAAAAATAATTCAGAAGGTTAGTAATTAAGCTAATCAGAGAGGCACCAAAGAAAGGTGAAGCCTAATTAAAGGAAATCCAAAAAAATGATGCAAGAAGTGAAGGGAGAAATATTCAAGGAAATAAGATAGCATAAAGAAAAAACTGTCAAAACCTCAGGAAACGTTGGACACACTTGCAGAAATGTGAAATGTGCTGGAACGTCTCAGCAATAGAATTGAACAAGTAGAAGAGGATTCAGAGCTTGAAGATAAGGTCTTCAAATTAACCCAATCCAACAAAGACAAGGAAAAGGAAGAAGAAAATATGAACAAAGCCTACAAGGAGTCTGGGATTATGTTAAACGACCAAACCTAAGAATAATCAGTGTTCCCGAGGAGGAAGAGAATCCTAAAAGCTTGGAAAACATATTTGAAGGAATAACTGAGGAAAAATTTCCTGGCCTTGCTAGAGAGCTAGATATCCAAATACAAGAAGTACAAAGAACACTTGGAAAATTCATCACAAAAAGATTGTGGTCCAGGCACATTATCATCAGGTTATCTAAAGTTAAGAAGAAGGAAAGAATCTTAAGAGATGTGAGACAAAAGCACCAGGTAACCTATAAAGGAAAACCTACCAGCTTAACAGCAGATTTCTCAGCAGAAACCCTGCAAGCTAGAAGAGATTGAGGCCCTATCTTCAGCCTCCTCAAATACAACAATTATCAGCCAAGAATTTTGTATCTAGAGAAACTAAGCATCATATATGAAGGAAAGATACCGTTTTTTTCAGACAAACAAATGCTGAGAGAATTCGCCACTACTAAGCCACTACTACCAGAACTGCTAAAAGGAACTCTAAATCTTGAAGTAAATCCTGGAAACACATCAAAATGGAACCTCCTTAAAGCATAAATCACACAGGACCTATAAAACACAAATACAAGTTAAAAAGCAAAAATGAAAAAACCAAAGTACACAGGCAGCAAAAAGCATGATGAATGCAATGGTACCTCACATCTCAATACTAGCATTGAATGTAAATGGCCTAAATGCTCCACTTAAAAGATACAGAACCACAGAATGGATAAAAACTCACCAAAGAACTATCTGCTGCCTTCAGGAGACTCACCTAACACATAAGGACTCATATAAACTTAAAATAAAGGGGTGGAAAAAGGCATTTCATGCAAATGGACACCAAAAGCAAGCAGGAGTACCTGTTCTTATATCAGAAAAAACAAACTTTAAAACAACAGCAGTTAAAAGAGACAAAGGACATTGTATAATAGTAAAAGGCCTTGTTCAGCAGGAAAATATATCCTAAACATATATGCACCTAACACTGGAGCTCCAAGTTTATAAAACAATTACTAATAGCCCTAAGAAATGAGATAGACAGCAACACCATAATAGTGGAGGACTTCAATACTCCACTGACAGCACTAGACAGTTCATCAAGACAGTCAACAAAGAAACAATAGATTTAAACTATACCTTGGAACAAAAGGACTTAACAGATATATACAGAACATTTAATCCAACAACCACAGAATACACATTCTATTCAACAGCACATGGAACTCTCTCCAAGATAGACCATATGATAGACCATAAAACAAGCCTCAATAAATTTAAGAAAGCTGAAATTTTATTAAGCACTCTCTCAGACCACAGTGGAATAAAACTGGAAATCAACTCCAAAAGGAACCTTCAAAACCATGCAAATACATGGAAATTAAATAACCTGCTCCTGAATAAGCATTGGGTCAAAAACGAAAGGAAGATGGAAATTAAAAAATTCTTTGAACAGAATCATAATAATGGCACAATCTATCTAAACCTCTGGGATACAGCAAAGTCGGTGCTAAGAAGAAAGTTCATAGCCCTAAACACCTATGTCAAAAAGACTGAAAGAGCACAGACTGACATTCTAAGGTCACACCTCAAGCAACTAGAGAAACAAGAACAAATCAAACCCAAACCAGCAGAAGAAAGGAAATAACCAAAATCAGAGCAGAACTAAATGAAATTGAAACAAACAAAAAAATGAAACAAAAACTGGTTCTTTGAAGAGATAAATAAAATTGATAGACCATTGGCAAGATTAACCAAGAAAAGAAGAGAGAAAATCCAAATTACCTCATTAAGAAACTAAACAGGAGATACTACAACTGACACCACTGAAATATAAAAGATCATTCAAGGCTAGAAACTAGAAAACCTAGAAGAGATAGATAAATTCCTGGAAAAATACAACCCTCCTAGCTTAAATCAGGAAGAATGAGATACCCCAAACAGACCAATAACAAGCAGCAAGATTGAAATGGTATTTTAAAAATTACCAACAAAATAAGTCCAGGAGCAGATGGATTCACAGCAGAATTCTACCAGACATTCAAAGAATTGGTACCAGTCCTTTTGACACTATTCCACAAGATAGAGAAAGAGGGCACCCTCCCTAATTAATTCTATGAAGCCAGCATCACCCTAATACCAAAATCAGGAAAGGATATAACCAAAAAAGAAAGCTACAGATCAATATCCCTGATGAACATAGATGCTGAAATCCTTAACAAAATGCTAGTTAACTGAATCCAACAACATATCAAAAAGATAATCCACCATGATCAAGTGGGTTTCATACCAAGGATGCAGGGATGGTTTAGCATACACAAGTCAATAAATGTGATACACCACATAAACAGAATTAAAAACAAAAATTACATGATCATCTCAATTGATGTGGAAAAAGCATTTGACAAAATGAAACATCCCTTTATGATTAACATTCTCAGCAAAATCAGCATACGAGGGACATACCTCAATGTAATAAAAGCCATCTATGACAAACCCACAGCCAACATAATACTGAATGGGGAAAAGTTGAAAGCATTTCCTCTGAAAACTGGAACAAGGCAATGATCCCCACTCTCACCACTTCTCTTCAGCAAGGTCCTGGAGGTCCTAGCCAGAGCAATCAGACAAGAGAAAGAAATAAAGGGCATCCAAATCAGTAAAGAGAAAGTCAAACTGTCACTGTTTGCTGATGATATGATCGTTTAACTCAAAAACCCTAAAGACTCCTCCAGAAAGCCCCTAGAACTGATAAAAGAAGCAAAGTTTCCAGACACAAGATTAACGTACAAAAATTAGTAGCTCTTCTATACACCAACAGCGGCCAAGAGGAGAATCAAATCAAGAACTCAACCCCCTTTACAACAGCTGCAAATAAAATAAAATACTCAGGAATATACCTAACCAAGGAGGCAAAAGACCTCCAAAAGAAAACCACAAAACACTGCCGAAAGAAATCATCGATGACACAAATGAATGGATACACATCCCATGCTCATGGATGGGTAGAATTAATATTGTGAAAATGACCATACTTCCAAAAGCAATCTACAGGTTCAACACAATCCCCATCAAAATACCACTATTATTCTTCAAATAATTAGAAAAAAAAATTCTAAAATTCATACAGAACCAAAAAAGAGCCTGCATAGCCAAAGCAAGATTAAGCAAAAAGAACAAATCTGGAGGCATCACACTACCTCACACTACTAGTACTGGTATAAAAATAGACACATAGACCAATGGAACCGAATAGAGAACCCAGAAAGAAACCCAAATACTTACAGCGAACTGATCTTTGACAAAGCAAACAAAAACATGAAGTGGGGAAAGAACACCCTTTTCAACAAATGTTGCTGGGATGATTGGCTAACCACTGAATCCTCGTCTCTCACCTTATTCAAAAATCAACTCAAGATGGATTAAGGACTTAAACCTAAAACCTGAATCTATAAAAATTCCAGAAGATAACATAGGAAGAACCCTTCTAGACATTGACTTAGTCAAGGATTTCATGACCAAGAACCCAAAAGCAAATGCAATAAAAACAAAGATAAATCGGTGGGACTTAGTTAAACTAAATAACTTTTGCATGGCAAAAAGAGCAGTCAGCAGAGTAAATATTCAGCCAGTGGAGTGGGAGAAAATCTTCACAATCTATATAGCTGACAAAGGACTAATATCCAAAATCTACAATGAACTCAAACAAATAAGAAAAAAAACAAACAATTCCATCAAAAAGTGGGCTAAGAACATGAATAGACAATTCTCAAAAGAAGATATAAAAATGGTCAACAAACATATGAAAAAATGCTGAACATCACTAATGATCAGGGAAATGCAAATCAAAACCACAGTGTGATACCATCTTACTCCTCCAAGAATGGCCATAATCAAAAAATAAAAAAACAGTAGATGTCTGCATGGAAGCAGTTATGAGGGAACACTTCTACACTGCTAGTGGGAATGTAAACTAGTACAGCCATTAGAGAAAACAGTGTGGAGATTCTTTAAAGAACTAAAAGTAGAACTACCATTTGATCCAGCAATCCCACTACTGGGTATCTAACCAGAGGAAAGGAAGTCATTATATGAAAAAGATACTTGCACACACGTTTATAGCAGCTCAATGCGCAATTGCAAAATCGTGGAACCAACCCAAATGCCCATCAATCAATGAGTGGATAAAGAAACTGCTGATTATATATATATATATGATGGAATACTACTCAGCCATAAAAAGAAATGAATTAACGGCATTTGCAGTGACCTGGATGAGATTGGAGACTATTATTTTAAGTTAAGTAACTCAGGAATGGAAAACCAAACATCGTACGTTCTCACTGACATGTGGGAACTAAGCTAGGAGAATGCAAAGGCATAAGAATGTACGATGGACTTTGGGGATTTGGGGGAAGGACGGGGGGGGCAGTGAGGAATAAAAGACTACAAATAGGGTACAGTGTATACTGCTCAGGTGTTGGATGCACCAAAATCTCACAAATCACCACTAAAGAACTCACTCATGTAACCAAATGCCACTTGTACCCCAACAACCTATAGAAAAAAAAATCGAAAATTTTTAAAAGACACATGCACATGTATGTTCACTGCAGTCCCATTCACAATAGTGAAGACATGGAATCAACCTAAATATCCACCAATGATAGACTGGATAAAGAAAATGTGGTACATATACATTATGGAATACTATGCAGCCATAAAAAAGAATGAGATCATGTACTTTGCAGGGACATGGATGGAGCTGGGGGTCATTAACCTTAGCAAACAAATGCAGGAAGAGAAAACCAAATACAGCATGTTCTCCCTTATAAGTGGAAGCGAAAGGATGAGAACACATGGACACATAGAGAGGAACAACACACACTGGGGTCTATCTAAGGGTGGAGTGTGGGAGGAGAGAGGTGGCAGGAGGGATAAGGAAGAATAACTAATGGATACCTAGTACTTGGGTGATGAAATAATCTGTACAAAAATTCCCATGACACACTTTTACCTATGCAACAAACCTGTACATCCTGCACATGTACCTCTGAACTTACAATAAAAGTTTAAAAAAACCCAGTGTATTTCTGGTAATTTCTTCAACTCAAAAGTATCTCAAGAAAACAATGGAATCTGCAAACTGGATCATTCTTTCTTAATCAAAGACTAACTGTTTGGCTTAAACATATTTACTTGGTGTTATTTAAGATCTGCCATAAAATGTTGAAATACTGTAGTTTGCATGGAGGTTCACCTCAGAAGGATGGTAGAATTTTCTTCTCAGAATTAGTACCTTGTAATTCAAATGGCTTATAAAAATGTCTATGGCTAATTCTTATCTCTGCTGTGCATTAACCAGAAGGCTAACATATTTGCAGGGAAACTCTCTTGTAATGTGATGAGACTCACAATGAGTTGGTCTTCCTCCATGAGAAAGGCACAGTAGGGGTCATGCCATACCCAATTACACCATGGTTCTGTCTGGTATCCCTGAACAGTTACCATAGACACTTTGAAGTATTGAAGTAACAGATGGTAAATTTAAAAGAACAGCTTCTTAAAATTTAAAACAAGTCCAAATGTAAACCTCCTTCATCTTCTCAATTCCATTCTTTGCCAAAAAAAAGGGAGAACAACATCACAAGTATGATTCTAAGCTGTTTATTTTTGAAGTATCATTTATCTTAGATTTCAAAATCCATTATAATTCCTATTAAACAGTGGGTTTTTTTTTTTTTTGTGGGGAGGAGGAGGGTAAGACAATGCTTTATTTTTATAGGCTTTTCCTAGCTGATGACCAGTATGCGGAAACAATAGTCATGAGGCTACAACTTCTAGGAGGCAGTAGCAGAGAGGCAAGCTGCAACCACTGCCCACTTCACTCTTCCAAATTTATTCAGGACATCAAACCACTATATCTGAATGAATGTGAAAAAATGTAATCTTTCTTTTATATGAAAAATGTCTTATGTAATTTATCTTTTTGTTTTTGTATAAGAGGGAGAAGTTTAAAGTCATTGTAGCTTCCTCTTATTCTTTGAGTGAGGATGAGGCATGCTGATTAAGTAGCGTATGGTGTGCACTAGAGGCTAATGTTGAACTGAAGCTGTAACATGGGAGAAAACACGTAGTCCGACCTCTACTGTGGCATGGGGTTAGGATGCAATATTTAGCTTGTTTAAAAATAGATAATAAAATAGTGTAGACTTCTTGTCAAAAGGACATTCAAAGTTTATACTTTGAATCACTCACAGACCTCCACGTCCAAACGTATAACCATGGGAGCAAAGCATAATATAAAATTCTAAAAAAGGATAATACTCTTTATGAATGAGGAACTTAAGAGAAATGTTGGACTGAAGCCCCATGACTGCCTTTCTCAGTATCAGAAGCAGCAGAAGCAGTAAGGATATCAGTCTCCAGGTCCAGGGAGAAGTAGGGTGGAGTGGCAAGTCTCTCTCCTCCCTCCTTTCTTTTTCTCCTACCCCAGGAAAACAGGCAGAAAAAAAAGGTGTTGCCAGTTGCTGACCAAAGGTATAGCTTATAAGAATCGGAGTACTAGGAAAAACAGCAGGACAGACTCAACTTTCAAGACCAAGCCTAGCCAACATGTCATCTAGCTCCAAACTATCCCAATATCATGGTGGATAAGACCACTGAGCCATTAGAAAAAGATCTGGTTTTGGACTATGAGTCCTAGGGGCTGGGCTGAGGCAACCACAAAAACTCTAAACAGAGAGGAGGAAGAGAGATAAGAGAAAAATAGCACCAAGTCAAGGTGGATCTAAAAAGCAACATTCTAAAATATACAAATAAAATTAACACCAAGAAAGATATAAAGTAAAATCAAACCTTGGGAAATATAATAATTTTAGACAAAATAGAAATAAAAGTGCCATTTTATGGCCATACTGCCCAAGGTAATTTATAGATTCAATGCCATCCCGATCAAGCTACCAATGACTTTCTTCACAGAATTGGAAAAAACTACTTTAAAGTTCATATGGAACCAAAAAAGAGCCCACATCACCAAGTCAATCCTAAGCCAAAAGAATGAAGCTGGAGGCTTCATGCTACCTGACTTCAAACTATACTACAGGGCTACAGTAACCAAAACAGCATGGTACTGGTACAAAAACAGAGATATAGATCAATGGAACAGAACAGAGCCCTCAGAAATAATGCCACATATCTACAACCATCTGATCTTTGAAAAACCTGACAAAAACAAGCAATGGGGAAAGGATTCCCTATTTAATAAATGGTGCTGGGAAAACTGGCTAGCCATATGTAGAAAGCTGAAACTGGATCCCTTCCTTACACCTTATACAAAAATTAATTCAAGATGGATTAAAGACTTACATGTTAGACCTAAAACCATAAAAACCCTAGAAGAAAACCTAGGCAATACCATTCAGGACATAGGCATGGGCAAAGACTTCATGTCTAAAACACCAAAAGCAATGGCAACAAAAGCCAAAATTGACAAATGGGATCTAATTAAACTTAAGAGCTTCTACACAGCAAAAGAAACTACCATCAGAGTGAACAGGCAACCTACAGAATGGGAGAAAGTTTTTGCAACCTACTCATCTGACAAAGGGCTAATATCCAGAATCTACAATGAACTCAAACCAATTTACAAGAAAAAAACAAACAACCCCATCAAAAAGTGAGCAAAGGATATGAACAGACACTTCTCAAAAGAAGACATTTATGCAGCCAAAAAACACATGAAAAAATGCTCATCATCACTGGCCATCAGAGAAATGCAAATCAAAACCACAATAAGATACCATCTCACACCAGTTAGAATGGTGATCATTAAAAAGTCAGGAAACAACAGATGTTGGAGAGGATGTGGAGAAATAGGAACACTTTTACACTGTTGGTGGGACTGTAAACTAGTTCAACCCTTGTGGAAGTCAGTGTGGCGATTCCTCAGGGATCTAGAACTAGAAATAGCATTTGACCCATCCTTTGGATATATACTGGGTCATCCTTTGGGTATATACTGGGTATATACCCAAAGGATTATAAATCATGCTGCTATAAAGACACATGCACAGGTATGTTTATAGCGGCACTATTCAGAATATCAAAGACTTGGAACCAACCTAAATGTCCAACAACGATAGACTGGATTAAGAAAATGTGGCACATATACACCATGGAATACTATGCAGCCATAAAAAATGATGAGTTCATGTCCTTTGTAGGGACATGGATGAAACTGGAAACCAGCATTCTCAGCAAATTATCGTAAGGACAGAAAACCAAACACCGCATGTTCTCACTCATAGGTGGGAATTGAACAATAAGAACACATGGACACAGGAAGGGGAACAACACACACCGGGGACTGTTGTGGGGTGGGGGGAGGGGGGAGGGATAGCATTAGGAGATATACCTAATGCTAAATGACGAGTTAATGGGTGCAGCACACCAACATGGCACATGTATACATATGTAACTAACCTGCACATTGTGCACATGTACCCTAAAACTTAAAGTATAATAATAATAAAATTTTTTAAAAAGTGCCATTTAAAAAATACTTTAGAACATGTATGTTTAAAGTCAACAAAGAGATACATAAAGTGATAGCATGATTCAAGGAAACGGGAAATCATACAAAAGTAATTTTTACAACTCAGTAGACTGGACAAACTCTAAACTGGAATTATCAAAGTAATACAAATAGATTGAGGGGCAATACCAATGAATTCACCAAGAATTTAGCAGAGAGAATAAGAGGAAAAATTTTGAAAGATTAATTAAGAGATATAAAGATATATCGATATAGAGATAGATATAAATAAATGAATGAGTGAATAAACACAGACACAACCATGAAATTCCACCCCCCTCCCCACCGCTGCAGAAAAGAATGGAGAAAAAGGCAGAAGCAACAAGAAATGAGATAAAAACTGAGAATTTTCAGAGTTGATGAAAGACATCAGCAGTCAGAAAATACACTCCGGTGTTTTGTTTTTGTTTTTGTTTTTCCAAGATGGTAGATTAGAGGCTTTTGTAGCATGTCTCACTCACTTGGAAGAAGCAAAATAGTGTGTAGAGAGTCATACTGTGAAATTTCATTCAAGAAGAAACATGAGAATTCAACAGAAAAGCGAAAGACAATTTCAGATACTGGGAAAGAGAAAGTGGGCAGGCAGCCTGCATGGTGGGGTCTGGCTAAAAACTGTGAGTGAATCCCCAGTACAGGAAAGGGTGAGTGAGTGTTTCTTTGTGATTCATCTCTCCACTGGAGAACTGCGCAACCCTAGCCATGGGAGAGGACCTTGACTCTCCTAAGCTCTAGAGCTAACATGGGAAGCAGCCTGGAAACTGTGAGAAGAAACGGCCCTGGAATGCCTCCAAAGCATCTTCTCAGGCCTGGGTGCTGACAGGACAGTGCCATTCTTGATGCTAGCTCACAGCAAGCCATGCAGAATCCTGGAATTTAGCAGCAGTGGCAGCTGTTGGCATAAGAGTTTCAGTCTGGATATTGGAGTACTGGGTTTCAAGCAGAGGAGGGGCCCCACAGCCAGAACTGAGAGATGAGTGGAGTGTGGGCTCCAGCCATGGGCACTGGAATTGGGCACCCCCTTTTCGTGGGACGAGAGCAGAGGGAGATTTGCCTGAGAGGCATGGTTTTGGCTCAGATGATGAGTATTATAGCTTTGGATGGCCTTGAGGACTGAAAGCAGACTGCATGTGACTAAATGTTCCAACTGGCTCCATTGGTAGGGAAAGGAGAGTGAGCCCGATTGGGTCTGGAGAGTGAGCCCAATTGGGTCTAGAGAGTGAGGGAGAGACCTGTCTCATTCCTGTTTATCTGACCTTGGTGGCAGCGTCACTCTCTGCTCCTGTTCCTGGGACTTTGGTGCAGCAGTGGTTGCTCTGCTCCTTGCCCAGGCATTTCTCCAGCAGCATAGTGACTGCCTCTGGATCCCCCCAGCAGGGCTAGTGCCTGCAACCACTACTGGGGGACCTGAGTGCAGGCTTGCCAAGATCAGCTCCATCCAGTATCAAACTCCCCACCATGGCTGAGCACAGGACCCAGAACACTGAGTGTTCCATGCCCAGCCCATTGCCTGGGACACCCAAGTACTTCTGGTTAACAAAAATCAAGCATAAACCATATCGCTACCACTTCAGCTGCTCTTACCTGCAAATACCCACTACCTACTGGCTTGGAGGTTGACCTGCACAGCCCATCACAGCATGTGCTGACACAAATGCACAGCACTTGAGAAGGAGATAAGCTTCTTGTGACCGCTGCTATCACCATTGCCCATGCCACCCTGGCTACTCAAGAGTCGATGAGGCTGCTCACCTGTCCAGTACTCCACTACTACAACCAACATTTGATAAACCACCACACTGATATGGCTATTTATAATCAAGGAAATAATACAGGATCTTCACCATTGAATACACCCAGAAGCAATGCCAAATGGCTCTACTCAACATATATCATAATCACATCCTCAAGGAAAAAAGGTCCCACCCCAATGAAAGTAATTTCAAAAATAAGCAACTGTTTAGATGAAAATAAATAATCATATTAAGAAGTAAGGTATTATGACAACACAGTAATTCTCCAGAAATAAATCCTAACCAAAAAGAAATCCTAAAAAATGCCAGATAAAGAATTCAAAATAGTGATTTTAAAGAAGCTCAGTGAGATGCAAGAGAAATCTGAAAACCATTACAAAGAAATCAGAAAATCAATTCAAAATATGAACAAGAAATTTACCAAAGGGATAGATATCTTAAAAAACAAACAAAACTCCTGGAAAAGAAAAATTCGTTGAAGTAATTACAAAATACTTCTAAAAGCTTCGACAGTAGACTAGACCAGGCAGGAGAAAGAGACACAGAACTTGAAGACAGGTCTTTTGAATTAATCCAGTCAAAGAAAAATAAATAAAACAGTATTTAAAAGAATAAAAAAAAAACCTTCAAAAAGTATGGGACTACATAAAGTGACAAAACTTACAATCCTTTGGTATTCCTGAGGGATTAAAAAAAAGCAAAAAGTTTAGAAAAACTACTTAAGGAAACAATTGATGAAAACTTCCCTAGTCTAGCATGAGATTTAAACATCCAGGTATAGGATGCCCAAAGATCACAAGCAAAACACATCGCAGAATAGACTTTGCCAGGACATATAGGAATCAGACTGTCTAAGTCAATATGAAGAAAAAAATCCTAAAATTGCGAGTGTCTAGTTACCTACAAAGGAAACCCATCAAACTACAGCAGATTTCTCATTAGAAACCTTCCATACCAGAAGAGAATGGTATGCTGTTTTCAAAGTGCTAAAAGAAAAAAGAAAAAAAAACAAAAACAAAACTATCAGTCATGAATTTTATATCCAGCTAAAAGAAGCTTCATAAATGAAGGGGAAATAAGGTCATTCCCAGATAAGCAAACACTGAGAGAATTCATAACCACTAGAGTGGACCTACAGGAAATGCTAAAGGAGTCCAATATATTGAAACAAAAAGGTGATATTTGCCATTATAAAAATACACGAAAGTAAACACTCTCAGGTCTTATACAACAATTACAAATCACAGGAGGAAGATAGGGGAATCAAATGGCACTATGACAGAACTCCACCAAACCACTGAGCAAACAGAGAAAAAAAAATAGAATTTACCAGATAACTAGATAACAATGAACAATATGACAGGAATAAAACCTTATCTATCAATATTAACATTGAATGCAAATGGATTAAGTGCTCCACTTAAAAGATATATATTGGCAGAATGAATTTAAAAACATGATCTAACTATATACCACTTACAAGAAACTCATCTTATTGGTTAAAAATATAGATACATTGAAAGTAGAGGGGTGGAAAAATATATTCAACACATATGGAAACCAAAACTGAGCAGGAGTAGCTATACTTATACAGATAAAACAGATTTCAATTCAAAACAGTAAAAAACAAACAAACAAAAAAGAAAGGCATTATAAAATTATAAAGGATATATTCAATAAGAGAATAAAATAATCCTAAATATGTATGCTTCAAACACCATAGCACCCAGATTCATAAAACAAATATTACTAGACCTAAAGAATAAGGTGCAATAATAGTGGGGGACTTCAATACCTTACTGACAGCACTAGACAGATCATTGAGACAGAAAATCAACAAAGAAACACTCTACTTAAATTAGACTTTTGACCAAATTGACCTAATAGATATATACAGAACGTTTTCCCCAACAATTGTAGAATATACATTCTTCTCATTGGCACATGGAACATTCTCAAAGACAGACCATATATTAAGCCACAAAAGTCTCCATAAATTGAAAAAAATTAAAATCATATCAAGTATCTTCCCAAACGACAGCAGAATAAAACTAGAAATCAATACCAAGAGGAACTCTGGAAACTATACGAATACATGAAAATTAAACAACATACTCCTGAAGGAACTTTGGGTCCATGATGAAATTAAGACAGAAATTTAAAAATTTTTGAAATGAATGACACACAACATATCAATACCTCTAGGATACAGCAAGAGCAGTACTAAGATACAAGTTTATAGTGTCAAATGTCTACATAAAAATAGAAAGATTACAAATTAACAACCTAATGTTGAACTTCAAGGAATTATAAAACCAAAAACAAACCAAACCTAAAGCTAGCTGAAGAAAAGAAATAACAAAGAACAGAGCAGAATTAAATGACATTGAGACAAAAAAATACAAATATAAAAAAATACAAAAGTTGGTTCTTTGAAAAGATAAACAAAATTGATATACCACTAGCTAGACTAACCAAGAAGAGAGAAGATCCAGATTAACATAATCAGAAATGAAAAAAGAGACATTACAACGAATACCCCAGAAATACAAAATATTATCAGTGACTACTATGCACAACTATATGCTCATAACCCAGCAAATCTAGAGAAAATGGATAAATTCCTGGAAACATACAACCTCCCAAGACTGAACCAGGAAGAAATACAAATTCTATACAGATCAATAATGAGTAGTGAGATTGAATTAGTAATAAAAAAATCTTCCAACAAAAAAGAAGCCCAGAACCAGATAGATTCACAACCAAATTCTATTAAGCAAATAAAGAAGAAATGGTACCAATCCTGCTGAAATTTTCCCCAAAAATTACATAAGAAGGGAATTTTCCCTAACTCATTCTTTTTTTTTTTTTTTTTTTTTTTTTTTACTAATAACAGGATGGTTTATTATACAGGATACAGTGTTCAACATACTTTCCTTATAATTCTTACCTTGACTTGCTAGTTAACGAATATATAGTTTTAATTTTTTCATTGGTAAAATGGGAAGGCAATACTTATTATTAATACATTGAATGAAAGCATTTGTATCCAATACTCAATAAATTATAACAAGAATTATATCACTATTTTCAATATCAGGAAGATGAGTTTTAGAAAGCTTATATAAGGACTATGAGTTTTCAGTAGAACTGCAGAGATTTTATCCTTATGGAAGATTAAGGTATGTGTCTCCTGTGTGTCCTAAGCACAAGATTAAATAAATTGTATTTCTTCATCACAGATCCATTAAAACTAATGCTTTAGAAGTACATTTGTTACCATGGAAAGATGTTTCTTTTTTTATTATTATTATTATACTTTAAGTTTTAGGGTACATGTGCACAATGTGCAGGTTAGTTACATATGTATACATGTGCCATGCTGGTGCACTGCACCCACTAACTCATCATCTAGCATTAGGTATATCTCCCAATGCTATCCCTCCCCCCTACCCCCACCCCACAACAGTCCCCAGAGTGTGATGTTCCCCTTCCTGTGTCCATGTGTTCTCATTGTTCAATTCCCATCTATGAGTGAGAATATGCGGTGTTTGGTTTTTTGTTCTTGCGATAGTTTACTGAGAATGATGATTTCCAATTTCATCCAAGTCCTTACAAAGGACATGAACTCATCATTTTTTATGGCTGCATAGTATTCCATGGTGTATATGTGCCACATTTTCTTAATCCAGTCTATCATTGTTGGACATTTGGGTTGGTTCCAAGTCTTTGCTATTGTGAATAATGCCGCAATAAACATACGTGTGCATGTGTCTTTATAGCAGCATGATTTATAGTCCTTTGGGTATATACCCAGTAATGGGATGGCTGGGTCAAATGGTACTTCCAGTTCTAGATCCCTGAGGAATCGCAACACTGACTTCCACAATGGTTGAACTAGTTTACAGTCCCACCAACAGTGTAAAAGTGTTCCTATTTCTCCACATCCTCTCCAGGACCTGTTGTTTCCTGACTTTTTAATGATTGCCATTCTAACTGGTGTGAGATGGTATCTCATTGTGGTTTTGATTTGCATTTCTCTGATGGCCAGTGATGATGAGCATTTTTTCATGTGTTTTTTGGCTGCATAAATGTCTTCTTTTGAGAAGTGTCTGTTCATGTCCTTCGCCCACCTTTTGATGGGGTTGTTTGTTTTTTCTTGTAAATTGGTTTGAGTTCATTGTAGATTCTGGATATTAGCCCTTTGTCAGATGAGTAGGTTGCGAAAATTTTCTCCCATTTTGTAGGTTGCCTGTTCACTCTGATGGTAGTTTCTTTTGCTGTGTAGAAGCTCTTAAATTTAATTAGATCCCATTTGTCAATTTTGGCTTTTGTTGCCATTGCTTTTGGTGTTTTAGACATGAAGTCCTTGCCCATGCCTATGTCCTGAATGGTATTGCCTAAGTTTTCTTCTAGGGTTTTTATGGTTTTAGGTCTAACATGTAAGTCTTTAATCCATCTTGAATTAATTTTTGTATAAGGTGTAAGGAAGGGATCCAGTTTCAGCTTTCTATATATGGCTAGCCAGTTTTCCCAGCATCATTTATTAAATAGGGAATCCTTTCCCCATTGCTTGTTTTTCTCAGGTTTGTCAAAGATCAGATAGTTGTAGACATGCGGCGTTATTTCTGAGGGCTCTGTTCTGTTCCATTGATCTATATCTCTGTTTTTGTACCAGTACCATGCTGTTTTGGTTACTGTAGCCTTGTAGAAAACTTTGAAAAAAGTTTAGAAGAATGTATAACTAGAAGAACCAATACAGAGAAGTGCTTAAAGGAGCTGATGGAGCTGAAAACCAAGGCTCGAGAACTACGTGAAGAATGCAGAAGCCTCAGGAGCCGATGCAATCAACTGGAAGAAAGGGTATCAGCGATGGAAGATGAAATGAATGAAATGAAGTGAGAAGGGAAGTTTAGAGAAAAAAGAATAAAAAGAAACAAGCAAAGCCTCCAAGAAATATGGGACTATGTGAAAAGACCAAATCTACGTCTGATTGGTGTACCTGAAAGTGATGGGGAGAATGGAACCAAGTTGGAAAACACTCTGCAGGATATTATCCAGGAGAACTTCCCCAATCTAGCAAGGCAGGCCAACATTCAGATTCAGGAAATACAGAGAATGCCACAAAGATACTCCTCGAGAAGAGCAACTCCAAGACACATAATTGTCAGATTCACCAAAGTTGAAATGAAGGAAAAAATGTTAAGGGCAGCCAGAGAGAAAGGTCGGGTTACCCTCAAAGGGAATCCCATCAGACTAACAGCGGATCTCTTGGCAGAAACTCTACAAGCCAGAAGAGAGTGGGGGCCAATATTCAACATTCTTAAAGAAAAGAATTTTCAACCCAGAATTTCATATCCAGCCAAACTAAGCTTCATAAGTGAAGGAGAAATAAAATACTTTACAGACAAGCAAATGCTGAGAGATTTTGTCACCACCAGGCCTGACCTAAAAGAGCTCCTGAAGGAAGTGCTAAACATAGAAAGGAACAACCGGTACCAGCTGCTGCAAAATCATGCCAAAATGTAAAGACCATCGAGACTAGGAAGAAACTGCATCAACTAATGAGCAAAATAACCAGCCAACATCATAATGACAGGATCAAATTCACACATAACAATATTACCTTTAAATGTAAATGGACTAAATGCTCCAATTAAAAGACACAGACTGGCAAATTGGATAAAGAGTCAAGACCCATCAGTGTGCTGTATTCAGGAAACCCATCTCATGTGCAGAGACACACATAGGCTCAAAATAAAAGGATGGAGGAAGATCTACCAAGCAAATGGAAAACAAAAAAAGGCAGGGGTTGCAATCCTAGTCTCTGATAAAACAGACTTTAAACCAACAAAGATCAAAAGAGACAAAGAAGGCCATTACATAATGGTAAAGGGATCAATTCAACAAGAAGAGCTAACTATCCTAAATATATATGCACCCAATACAGGAGCACCCAGATTCATAAAGCAAGTCCTGAGTGACCTACAAAGAGACTTAGACTCCCACACATTAATAGTGGGAGACTTTAACACCCCACTGTCGACATTAGACAGATCAACGAGATAGAAAGTCAACAAGGATACCCAGGAATTGAACTCAGCTCTGCACCAAGCGGACCTAATAGACATCTACAGAACTCTCCACCCCAAATCAACAGAATATACATTTTTTTCAGCACCACATCACACCTATTCCAAAATTGACCACATACTTGGAAGTAAAGCTCTCCTCAGCAAATGTAAAAGAACAGAAATTATAACAAACTATCTCTCAGACCACAGTGCAATCAAACTAGATCTCAGGATTAAGAATCTCACTCAAAACCGCTCAACTACATGGAAACTGAACAACCTGCTCCTGAATGACTACTGGGTACATAATGAAATGAAGGCAGAAATAAAGATGTTCTTTGAAACCAACAAGAACAAAGACACAACATACCAGAATCTCTGGGACGCATTCAAAGCAGTGTGTAGAGGGAAATTTATAGCACTAAACTCCCTAACTCATTCTATGAAGCCAGTATCATCCTGACGCCAAAGCCAGAGAAGGATATAACAGAAAAAGAAAACTATAGACCAATATCCCTGATGAACACAGATGCAAAAATCCTCAGCAAAATACTAGCTAACTGAATCCAACAGTACATCAAAAGACAATACACCATGGTCAGAAAGGGCTTATTCTAGGGATGCAAGAATGGTTCAACATACACAAATCAATAAATGTGATTCATCCCATAAACAGAATTAAGGACAAAAAGCTTATGATCACCTCAATAGGTGCAGAAAAAGCATTTGATAAAATTTGGTATCATTTTGACACCAAATTTCATGACTAAAAACCCTCAACAAACTAGGCATAGAAGGAACACTCCTCAAAATAATAAAGGCCATATATGACAAACCCACAGCTAACATCATAATCAATAGGGAAAAGTTGAAAGCATTACCCCTAAGAACTATAACAAGACAAGCATGCCCACTTTTACCACTCCTATTTAACATAGTACTAGAAGTCTGAGCCAGAGCAATCAGGCAAGAGAAATAAATAAAAGGCATTCAAATAAGAAAAGAGGAAGTGAAGTTATCTCTTTTCTCTGATGATATAATCTTATATCTAAGAAACCTTAAGACTTTACCAAAAAACTCTTAGATTTGATAAATGAATTCAGTAAAATTTCAGGATAAAAAGTCAATGTACAAAACTCTATACACATTTCTACACACCAATAATGAGTAGCATTTCTACACACCAATAATGATCAAGCTGAGAAACCAAATGAGCAATTCCATTTTGAATAACTACAAAAAAAAAGGAATATATTTAACCAAGGAGGCAATTGATCTCTACAAGGGAATCTACTGATGAAAGAAATTGTGGATGACACAAGCAAATGGAGAAACATCCCATGCTCATAGATTGGAAGAATTAATATTGTTAAAATATCCATACTGCAGAGAGCAATCTACAGATTCAATGCAATCCCTGTTAAAATATCATCATTTTTCACAGAATTAGGAAAAGATATCCTAACATTCATATAGAACCAAAAAAGAGCTTGAATAAAATCAAAGCAATCCTGAGCAAAAAGAACAAAGCTGGAGGCATCACATACCTGACTCAAATTATACTACATTGTTACAGTAATCAAAATGGCATGGTACAGGTATAAAAACAAACATATAGATCAATGGAACAGAATCAAGAACCTAGAAATAAATGCACATATCTAGAGCCAGCTAATCTTTGACAAAGTTGACAAGAATACACACTGGGAAAAGATAGCCTTTTTGATAAATAGTCCTGGGAAAATTGGATTGCTATATGCAGAAGAATGAAACTGGACCCCTATCTCTCACTATATACAAAAACAAACTCAAGATGGATCAAAGGTTCCAATGTAAGACCTGAAATTATAAAAATACTAGAAGAAAACCAAGGAAAGAGTCTTCTGGACATTGGTCTCGGCAAATAATTTATGACTAAGACCTAAGAAGTACAAGTAACTAAAGCAAAAATAGGCAAACTCGAGTTAATTAAACTAAAAGCTTCTGCACAGCAAAATAAATATTCAACAAGTGAACAGACAACCTGTAGAATGGGAGGAAATATTTGCAAATTATGCATCCAACAGGGGACTGTTATCCAGAATTTACAAGGAACCCAAAAAACTCAACAACAACAATAAAAATAACCCCATTAAAAAGTGGACAGAGGATGAGAATAGACAATTTTCCAAAGAAGACATAGAAATGACCAATAAGCATATGAAAAAAATGCTTAACATCACTAATCATCAAAAAAATACCAATTAAAATCACAATGAGATACTATCTTACATCAATCAGAATGGTTATCATTAAAAAGTCAAAAATAAAAGATGTCAGCAAGGATGTAGAGAAAACAGAATGCTTATACAAAGTTGGTGGAAAGTAAATTAGTAAAATCTGTACAGAAAACATTATGGAGACTTCTCAGAGAATTAAAAATAGAACTACCATTCAGTCCAGCAATCCTACTAGGTATCTACTGAAAGGAAAGAAATCATTATATGAAAAAGATACCAACACTCCCATGTTTATTGCAGTACTATTCACACTAGTAAATATATGGAATCAACCTGAGTGTCCATCATCAACAGACTGAATTAAAATGTGGTATATATATATACAATGAAATAGTATTTAGTCATAAAAAGGAATGAAATCATATCTTCTGTTGCAACATGGATGGAACTGGAGGCCATTATCTTAAGTGAAGCAACTCAGAAACAGAAAGTCAGATACTGTATGTTCTCACTTATAAGTGGGAGCTAAATAACGTGTACACATGGACATAGAGTGTGGAATGATAGAAAGTAGAGACTCAGAAGAGTAGGAGGCCAAAAGGGGTAGGATGATGAAAAATTGCTTAATGGGTACAATGTACATTATTGGTGTGATGGATACACTAAAAGCCAAGACATCACCACTAAACAAATATACGCATGTAACAAAACTGCACTTGTGCTCATTAAATGTACACCCATAAAAAAGAAAATGTATACCAGATAAATAAAAGTAAATGCATAATTAGACACATTATGAGGAAATAGCAAAACACAGACATGTTCTTAAAATCTACCAGGGAGAATAGAGACATACAATTAAACTTATTATTACCAGTAGATGCCAGAAGAGATAAAATTATGTCTTTAAAATTCTTAGGGAAATATCTATCTACCCAGAATTTTATTTCTAGCTAAAGCACATTCAAGGATGAAGGTAGAATACATACATTTTTCCACAGACCCTTACTAAAAACAAACAAAGAAACATAAAAATAATTTTTATAAAAAGGAAACGGAAACACACCCAGAAGTAAGAAAGAGATAAAAGAAAAAATGCGTATAAATTGATTTTTTAAACCAGTAGTTTATTTACTGTTAAAATAACTATTTGTGTGTGTATGAGTGTCACCTCAAAAGAGGTGAAAGTAAAAATCTAGGCAATAGTAAGTATACAGAAAAAGTGTTAATGAATTCTAAAATCCCTGTTCTATTCATACAAGGACATAAATTGAAAATTTGTTAGAAAAATTTATTCTTGAACATGATTCTTAAAAAATGAAGGGTAACTGCAAGTAACAGAAATAAAATTCATAGCATTTGGATGAGCAGAGGGAAAAAATGAAATATATAAATTTAAAACTCCAAGGAAAGGTAGAAAGGGGGACAAAGTGTAGTGAAAACAAAATATTCTGATAAAAATAAGTTCAGAAATAGCAATTATTACAATAAATGTAAATACCTAATAAATAACAGAGATATAAGATTGAATGATAAAATCCAATTATATTCACCTTATGCAAATCACTTCTAAAACAAAGCAACTTAGAAAGATCCGAAGATTAAAATTACTACCTAAAAGAAAGCTGAAGTAGCAACATTAATATTATTGTTAGATGGAATATATTTTAAGGTAAAAGTAATTGAACAAGAAACATTACATAATAACAATTGGGATGCTTCAAAGAATATCTAAATCATGAACATGTATGCATAAAATATGTAAAACAATAAACACATATTTTTACGTATACATTACCATAATAGCACATTTAAATACTTTTCTTTCAGTAATTGATAATGAGTAGGACTACAGAAGATTTGAATAACATAAGTAGGCAATTTGATTTCAAACAAATATACATAAGTTATGTATCTATATAAATATTATACATTTAGATAAATATATTTATATGAATTATTATATGTGTGTAGGTACCCTGCACCTAACAAATAGCATGTAGACATACTGCTGCTCCAGTACAAATTGAACATTTCCATATATTCATAATGTACTAAGCCACAAAGGAAGTCCCATCAATTTCAAGGAATCAGATTTATACAGACCATAATTTCTAATTACAATGCAATTATTTAGGAAACAATAGTAAAAGATTGATTTTTTTTTTTTTTGGAGACAGAGTCTCGCTCTGTCACCCAGGCTGGAGTGCAGTGCGCGATATCGGCTCACTGCAAGCTCCGCCTCCCGGGTTCCTGCCATTCTCCTGCCTCAGCCTCCCGACTGGCTGGGACTACAGGCGCCCGCCACCACGCCCGGCTAATTTTTTCTGTATTTTTAGTAGAGACGGGGTTTCACGTGTTAGCCAGGATGGTCTCCACCTCCTGACCTCGTGATCCGCCCGCCTCGGCCTCCCAAAGTGCTGGGATTACAGGCGTGAGCCACCGTGCCCGGGCAAGATTGATTTTTTAAATATGTACACACATATTACTCTGAGCCAAAGACGCAATAACAAAGAACTTACAGCCAAACAACCACATAAAAAAATTACAAAATTGATGAGAATCACCCAAAATATTTTTGGTAAATCTTAGCCTTCAGTTTATTCTGTAACAAGAAATACTATGTAAAAGATCTATTGTAGTAGGCAGTGCTATACGTGAAATATTTCCAGTTCTGCTGGCCATATGGTACCATCGCATATCCCTGTTCCCCTGAGGTTAGTTGTAACCACGTCACTTGTTTTGGTAAATGAAATGTGAATGGAGGGAACTTTTGCCACTTTTAGGCAGGAGCTTTAGGAGCTACAATTCAGTTGGCCAGATCATTTTTTTTCCCTTGGCAATGTCAGAAGCATGGAGATGGAGCCTCTCTTAGCCTATGCACTGGAGTGAAGATGAACCCTGAGTCTGTATCATCCTTCTGCCTGTCCACATGTGAAGTGTAGCAGCATCAAAGGAACTGATGTCACCACCTCATTTTCAAGTTAGGCTTCCACAGTAATTCTCTGGATTTCTGTCTTCTAAAAGCTGAATTACTTTAGATTTTCTTCTTTCAATATGCATTTGCCATTTGTTGGCCTAATCACCAAACAAACATGTAAAAATAATTTTTATAAGGAAACAGACCCATAGCTAAGAGAGGTATAAGAAAAAATGCAAGTATTAATTGATTTTTAAGCTAGTAATTTAACTATTTGCTGATTATTTTATTGCTTCTTATTTTTTCTGTCTCCAGTCTTCCAGTAATATCTGAGAGCTTTCAGACACAGTTTTCCATGTACTAATACAAATTGCTTATAAATACCATCAAGAAAAGCCCAGAGTCTGAAAACAGAGGCTTTCAGCTGGTTATAAAACTGGAAAACTGTCCTGTGTCTTAATTCTCCCTTATCCTACCAATTTGACCATCCCTTAGTTACCAGAACCTTTCATCTTTGAACGTTTTGCATTTTGATTTGAAGACGACCACAGCTTCCATAAAGTATTCTATGACAATTGACACATATATTTTTTTCTGAAAATAAACAGAAAATATTCCTGATGATTAAAAAAAATGTCTGTAATCACAATGACCCAATCCTTTTCTGACAGGATTATAATCATTGTTTCTGTGAAGGATTCAGGATGAGATATTGTAGTTGAAACACAGATCACCCCTCTATAATATCATTGTTACTCTTTTCTGAAAATTAATTATTTGCAAAGACTATGAAGATGCACTAATTGAAGGTTTGTTTTGAATAAACTTGCAGCAATTTTTCTGAAACTGACTTATAACTTCCAGAATGTGAGGATTTGGCAAAGAGAATGGTGCACTATTTTCTGTGGGCTGCCTTCCATTGCAGTTTACCTAGATTCCAAGAATCATGTCCTTGCACCTGTGTCAGATTCTGTTATGAGAACGACAAGATCCACTATCAGGAAGGCTTGTTGCCCTGCCATGTCACACAGACTTTCAAATGATTTCTAGCTTTTGTTTGTAACACTTAGGTGTGATGGCAATTTTTTTTTTCAGAGGAGTTTTATAAAAGCTCTGTAAATTATCAAAGAAAACTAACCATTTTCAATTAAAGAAAAAAATCGATCACATTGACTTTTATGATGAGAGAAACATTTGAGGAAAATGAGAAAATAAATAATTCTAAATCCCAATATTTTCAAAAGCTTTAAAGTAGATAGCCAACGTGATAGTAGGATAAATTACCACATTTTTCCAGCTAGATTCAAATTATACCGAATTCATTCATCTCTGTAAAGTTAAATTTTGAAAAATAAAGGTGCTTTTACATAAGATATTATTTTTCAAAGTTTAAGTAATCTTGGGCACTTATTTTTAAGAAGAGCAAATCTTGTTCAAAAATGTCTATTTGCTTTGGGTAAAAATGTTTCAGATTTTGAAAAAAGTCTCTGATGGTTTATTTTTATTTTCTTATTTTACATTTTTGAACTTTAAAACATTTCCAAAACCAGTATTGGATCTGTTTGGGTTTGATATAGGTCGTGACATTGTTTCTTTTGAGTATTCTTAAGAGTGGTATTGACATTTGAAGAATCCAAATGGCTAGAAATGCAAAATAGGACAGTGATAATTTATGCTGTTTTAGTCATCTGCTCAGAAATGCACACTGAATGAATAGCCATTGTACTGTCAAAAATGTTGTACTAGCACTGGGAACTTTGTTGATCTTGGAAGCTTACTGTTTTCTAATCTGTGCTTGGTGACCTTTAAAGTTCCAGTAATATTTGCCTGTTAATGAATCAGACTTTGTTCAAGGCATTCCATTGACTGATTTTGCATTAATCAATAGTTTTTACTTAAAAGCCACAAAGACCAGAGCAGAGTACTCTGCTTGGTGCTGCTTAAGACCTAAAAAGAGATAATACAGTTTAGGAGCTTGGACTCTGAAATCAGACTGCTTAGCTTCAAATCCTGGCTCTGCCACTTATGGCTGGGTAACTGTGGGCAAATTGACCTCTCTGTGCCTCAGTTTTCTCGTTTATACAATAAGAATAATTATCTCAAGGAGTTGTTTGACAATTTAATAACTTAATAAATGTAAAGGGCTTACAGCAATTCTTGGCATTTAGTAAGCACTAGATAGCTTCTAAGATAAATTGTAGAAAGTTTCTTTCTAATGGCAGTAATACATGTGTGAGCTATTCATAAAAACAAAACAAATCGACCACAGAGGAAAGGATATAGATTAAGAATTAGAGCTGGGTACTATTTCCTAGTTTTCATCCCATGAAGACTGATAAATGAATATCACAATACTTGCCCTGATGCCTTAGCTAACAGCTTGATGAGGAGAACCAAATGAGATAATGAATTCTCTTAAATGAGGAGATCCAAATGAGATAATGGATTCCTTCCTTCCTTCCTTCCTTCCTTCCTTCCTTCCTTCCTTCCTTCCTTCCTCCCTCCCTCTTTCTCCTTCCTTCCTTTCTTTTCTTCCCTTCTCTTTCTTTCTTCTTGCCTTCTCTTCCTCCCTCGCCTGCCTGCCTTTCCTCCTCTCTCTCTCTTTCTTTTAGAGATGAAATATCACTATGTTCCCCAAGCTGGCCTTGAATTCCTGGGCTCTAGCAATCCTCCTTTCTCAGCCCCCTGAGTAGCTGGGACTACAGACACATGCCTCCGTGCCTGGTTGAAATAATGTTTGCTTTCTACTTGAGGCCTTCCCAAAATTTTTAGCCAAAATTGCTCCTTCTTGATCACTCCCTATGCTGTTTATTTATATTTTCTTCATGATACATAACACTAATTTTTGTGTTATAGTTAGTTGCTTATATGCTTCTTTCTCCAACTAGATAAGGTCTTGATGGTGGAGACACTGTTTTCTTACTCACTTCTCAAAACTCATCTAGCACTTGAAAATAATAGACATGTAATGAGTGTTTATTCTAAAGGGCTCTTACAGGTATAGCTTGACAAATCAACAGAATGATTATTATTACTATTATTGTTATTATAACTACCACCACATGTGACCTTATAGGGTATAATTATGTGGGTTTTGGGCATGAATATGAGTAGTAGAGTTGGGTGGGGTTAGAATGGAGCAACTCACACAGGGATTTTTTTTGAATAAATTCTGACTTCTTGTATTTCTGTTTTCTCTTTCCATAATCTCCTTACATTAAAATGCAACACATTAGGTGCAGCAAGTATTTTCCTGGCTATTAACTGGGTCAGATGTAAAATAATTGATTATTATGGGATCTGCAGAAAGCCTCTAGTCTTCCTATGTTGTTACCATATGATAAATGAGGTTTATGGAAATAGCTAATTATGTGTTTGTCTAAATTCCAGCTAGAACTTGGGGATTTATTTATTGATTCATTTATCTTTTAAAATTTTTTGAGTATTTATTTGCCATGTGCTAGACACTGTGCTAGGCACTGCATATGGGCAGTGGGACCTGCAGTGTTCGAGTCTATTCTGTATGTATAAACAGGAATCTCCATGAAGAGGCATAAGAATCACTCAAACATTGTGGTTCAAATCAACTTGAAAACACAGTTGGGGATCTTTGATCTTAGTTTAACACATTAGGTTATTTTCTTTTCTTGCAGTAATTGGATCTATAAACTTGAATTAATGTAGTGCTCATATTAGGGTATGTCAGCTGCACTGATCGCAAAATTTAAACGTATGAATCTTACTCTAGGAGAAATTTTACTCTGGCCCACTAGCAACTGCTAAGAACCATCATTTTCATGAGTGAACTTGGGCAAGTAACATAACCTTGTAAGCTCATCTGTAAAACTGGGATAATAACAGGCTGTTTCTAGATTTCCTTTGAGAATTATTTTTATATACTCAAGAACCTATGGGTGCTTTTGCGATTCTGTTGCTGGATCTATTTAATGTTCATACACAGTATTAGAAATATATGTGAAAAATACAAATTAAAATAAGTTCATGTGCTTTCTTAAAATTCACTAGAGTGATGATAGTTCTGAAGTGTAATGAATAGAGAGAAACATGCATTTCTTTATCCAGTTTTGAATGTGTGATATGTGGATGTTTCACATTACCTTATGGTGTATCAAATGTATGCTTAAAGCATAAACTTTTAAATGAGACATGCACTTTCATTTTTCATATCCTCTTTGTAAACCTCTGAAATCACCTACATATTTTATTTAAAATCAAAACATTACAATTGAGCAACTACAGCATGCAATTTCTTTCAAAACACAAAGCTTACTAATTTGCATCAAAATAAAAAAATCAAGACTGCTTAATTAAAACCTTGACACCATCAACCTCTTTAATTATACGTTAAAGAGACTGGCATCCTGGGGACACCAACTTGAAATCAGTGTGCATTTTGAGTGTCTCTGGTGTGTGTACATGTGCAATTCACAGAAGGGAAAAAAAGAGGGGCATTAAGAGAAAGCAAAAACATGATTTAAATTTTCTTTAGACATTAATAATTTCACACTTTTAAAATAGGTAGGAAAAGGGCAAATTTGTCTTTTCAGAAGAATAATGCAGACTAGAATTGTAAAACAATGTTTCATCTCTTTTCTATGTCTAAATTTCAATGCATGCTTTCTTTTTAAAGAACAAAGATTTTTATGATAATTATTACTTAGAAAACAGGGTTCAAAAGCTTGGCTACTGCTTGTTGGATGTATATAGACCATATTGGGTAAATGAAGGAGGAAAGGGCTGTCTGTTTCTCTCCTTCTTTAGAGTGTATATAAATTGTGCAGTAAAATGACGGCTTTTCTTTACATCTTAATTCTTGTTGTCTTCACTATTATGTGCCTATTCCCAATTTCTTTCTCTAGTCTGGGACCCAGCAGCTCTTTGTTCTCATTGTGTCTGTCGTCTCCCTTTCTTTGTGTTGCAGGGAGATACTGCTACCCGCATCTGCCACTGAGCATGCGGGAAAAATCCTTCAATAGATTCTTTACTTAGGACTTTCAGTAGTATTACTCCATTTCTCCAGGTTTTGGTAATAACCAAAAAAAATCCTAAAGATATACCGAAACTTGGAAAGGTGATGGGTGATACAGGTGGTTAGGTGGTGGGCTAGCAAGCTGGGACACAGGGAAGGTTAAGGGAGTCATCACACGCATTTAGCTAATTTATGGAAGCGCTCACCAAGCATGTTAAATGCAGAACATCCACCCTGCACACAGAAGCTAGAGATGTAGATTAACAACTGAGAAGATACAAGTGTTTCTGAGCAGGAAGACACAAAACCATATCTGAAACCAATAGATACGATGTGTTAGCAGCTCCAGAGAAATGAGGTACATTGTCACAAAGATTGGTATGTAAAGTCCCTAGCAAGGACTTTCACTAGATAGTATATCATCTGAGGATGAGAACCAGTGGTGTAGATTTTTCTCATAATATAATCTCAGGTTTTCCTCTGATTGTGTTAAACACTCAAAATGCTAAGTCAGTCAGTATTCATTGAACACAACTCGATTAAATTCTTCTGCTTAAAAGCCTCTTTTAAAAAAAGCAGATTTGCTCGTTTTCCAAGTGGTAAGAAATAGCAGGTTTGCAGGTGAGATTAAAGTGTATTGGGTAGAATTCTGAGGTTTTCTGTTTTCTGCTTTCCCACCAGCAAGTCTGACTTTAATAACTTACACATTATTTAATAGAAGGAGCACTAAACAATTTTACTCATATTTCTCCCCATAACCATTTTTGCCTATTGTACTCATTGCCCGCATCACGAGCTCTTAGAATGGTTCCTGGCACAGAGTAGGTGCTCAAAGATCTTTTGTTTGGGGAATGCATGAATATACATAGTATGAAAAAAAAAGCAGTTCTTCTTTTATTGTGACAAACAATGATGGTAACAGTTCAAATTTGACTATTTTAGAATAAATAAGTAAACACTTGTCTCCTTAGCAGCTGGCCACTCTACCTCTTAGAGAGAGGGCTTTCTTCTCTTTCTTCTCGGTCTCCTGTCTCCCACCATTTTGCTTCTCTATTACCAATGAGAACATGAGTGGCATGGTCCCAAAGCCTTTCTGTTCCCCCTATCTCCACTTTTCGGTTTTTAGAATAACGATCCCCAGCCTTTAAGTTTTCTATAGGATTCGTTAGCCAGTGGCTATTAAGTGCTGTCACGGAGCCTAACAGAGAGCTGGGAAGGGAGCAAACCAGCGGGCCGGTGGTGCACTACTCGAGGGCCAGCACCTGCAGCTGCTTCTTTGGGAACCCCCTGGTCCCCGCAACCGCCTCAGAGACCCGCGCAGTTCACTGTCCCACCAAGCGGCAGGAGGAGGTGCTTGTGGCGGGAAAGTTCAGGCCAGGTCCAATCAGGCCCCTGGGATTAGGTAGCGAGGGTGGGTGCGGCTCCCCGGCCCCAACCCGGGCTGCCGGCCCCGCCCCCTGGGTGGGCTTCCCCACGGTTCTCCGCCCCCCCCCCCCCACCCGCCCCCTCGGCGCTCTTGCCCCGCCCCGCTCCGGGGCCGCGGCTAAAACCCGGAGCCGCCGCGACGCCCAGGGGACTGGAGGGACGCACTGAGCATGTGCAGATCAGCTCGGTGGTGGCTGCCGCGGCCGGAGGCGAGGGCCCGGTGCTGATGCGAACCGCCGGCTCGGCCTCAGCCCGCGCGTGGTCGGCCCCCCAGGCCGGGGCGACAGGGAAGGAGCCGTAGCCTCCCCGTGGCCCGAGGAGCCGGCGCGGCGGCGCGCACTCCCCGGCGGCCGCGGCGCCCTCGGGGCCCACGATGATGGCGGAGCAGGTGAAATGCGCCTCGGCAGGGGTCAGCTCTGGAGCGGGCTCCGGGCCGGTGGTGAACGCGGAGCTGGAGGTGAAGAAGCTGCAGGAGCTGGTGCGCAAGCTGGAGAAGCAGAACGAGCAGCTGCGGAGTCGAGCGGCCAGCGCGGCCGCCGCCCCGCACCTGCTGCTGCTGCCGCCGCCGCCGCCCGCCGCGCCGCCCCCCGCTGGCCTGCAGCCTTTGGGTCCTCGGAGCCCCCCGGCCGCCACGGCCACCGCCGCGGCCTCAGGGGGCCTGGGGCTCGGGCTGGCGCTGGGCGCGGGGGGCGGTGGCGGCAGCGGTAGTGGCAGCGGCGGTGGCTCCAGCCCCGCGTTCCCGGGCACCTTCTGCCTGCCTAGCCCCGCGCCCTCCCTGCTTTGCAGCCTGGCGCAGCCACCCGAGGCGCCCTTCGTCTACTTCAAGCCGGCAGCAGGCTTCTTCGGCGCGGGCGGTGGCGGGCCGGAGCCGGGGGGCGCGGGGACGCCGCCAGGGGCAGCTGCAGCGCCGCCCTCGCCGCCCCCCACGCTGCTGGACGAGGTGGAATTGCTGGATCTGGAGAGCGTAGCCGCCTGGCGGGACGAGGACGACTACACCTGGTACTGCCTGGCTCCGCTCCTTCCCCGAGACCCTGGCCTCGGGGGCTTCGGGCACCGGGGAGCGGGGGCGGGGGGCGGACGGGGGTCCCCTCGCGGCAGCCGGGGTGACTCCCCGCGGCTCCCGGAGGGGCCGACCCAGCAGGTGTTGAGCCAGGCGGTGACACTTCCCACGATGAGGCTTCTCATGAAGGCAGAAACCTGTTTTCTAATCGCTCCGACTGCGGATGAACCGGCCCCCCCTTCCCCCCATCTGCCATGGGTTCTGCTATTTGCTGATTGTTGGGTCCCAAGCTCCTCGTTAGCATTAAGTGCAAAATCCATGTCATCTTGTCTTTTTGCTCAGTGCTGCTCTTTTCCCCAGTGTTTTCGGAGGGATGACGGGGGATGGTAGGGGTTGGCCTCTGTCTGCGACTGTTACTGTTCTTTCGTTTTAAACGAACGCTGGACAGGATTTGCGTGCTCTTCCTCCTCGGGTGGCATCGGAAGCCGCGCAGTGATGGATCTCTCTTTATAGAGAGGTTCGTTCTTGCTGTTTGAATTTTGCAGTCGTGTGCCCTTTTGCGTTGCATTTTCATTGAAATCTTATTTTCAGAGACTGACTTGCTTTTTAAAATGGGGTGACCTCACTGGCTTTCCCATAAATAGTGCCAATAAAGAGGACTTTTCTTGGAGTGGAATGAACAGGTGGGAGGGACTTTTTTATTTATTTATTTATTTTTTTACCTAGGAACCAACGAACTGTCTTTAATTTTTTAAATTAAACTGTAGAAGAAAAGTGAGATTAGAGAAGCCTTATTTTCTTATTTCTTGGAAACTTTTTAGCTTGGTTATCAGAAAACTTGAGGCTGACAGCATTTATTCAGTTGACATCTGGTTAGCACTGTCTACTTTCCATGAATGAGTAACTTTAGGGGGAGGCTTGCTGTAGTCCTTCTTTACTTTAGGTCCTTTTTATGTAGGACCCTTTCTGTTTTTCCAAGCTGTGTTTTCATTACTTTCTTTGTGTCTCTGTTGCATGATTGCATGGAAGGGATTGGGAAATGGAGATCCTTACTGGTTTCCTATTGGGAACTGCAGTGTTCCTTTTCCCTTACACTCTGTCATGTGAGAGCTCTAACTGTAAAGTACATTAGTTAATTGGTTTCATTCAAGAATCAAAATATATGGAGTTACAGTAAGCCTTTCAGAGGTGTATTCATCATCCACCTTAATACTTTTTGGCAGCTGTGCAGGTAGCTCAAGGTGTAAAAAAATCAAACAACTCATCACTTTTGGGAACTTTAAGCCATTTTTTCAAAGCTGCACCCTTATTTCTGTAAAGTAATCTCAGTTTCAGTCTGAATGTGGTACTAGAAAATGCTCTCATGATGGTCCTTAGATTTCACTAATAACTCTCAGCCCTTATGCCACTTTCAAATTATTTTAGGTTGATTTAGTCCCTACTTAGCCTTTTCTGATGGTATGTATGTAAACAGTGGAAGGAAACTTGTTTACATTTTTGATGGGGAGATATATGGGATCAGTTTTATGCTTAAAATATTTGCATTTTAAAATTTATTGTGATATTGTTTGTAAATATGAGATTAGTAATCTATTAATAACTTTCCTTCTTTTGAATGGATTTCTGTCATATTTAGTTAGCATCCTATTACTAGCATTTTGGTACCTAGGCTTTCTTTTTATAGTTTAATTTTGTCCAAATAGCATTGAAATAATCAACTTTAACAGAAATCACCCACTTAGTGGTATTAGTATATTAGCTCTTCAGATGGTTTGAAGCAAATCAAAGTTGAAGCAGGTTCTATTTCATTCAACAAGTACACAGGTGAATAAATCAAAGCCTTGATGCTTTACAAATGTTTCTAGAGACAAATGGCAGAGAATCTTCCTGAAAACAAGCCTGAGATTAGAATTCCAGGTGGAAAAACAAGGAGGGTTCATTAATCTTAGTGGGATGGTCTTAAAAATTTTAAAGTTACCTGATTTACATAATTTTATTATTACATTTTATGCATCAAGATTTTGTTTGCATTGCAAATCTTTTTGATGAAGAAAATATCAACAGGGTTTAATTTTTAAAGTTTAACCCACTTGTTAATGCTTGCAAAGCACTCTGTTCCTTTATCACTGCAGACTATAGTGTCCCAGTAGTGTGGTCTCAGAAATAAGAGTGCTGTTCATTTGGTTCCCTGATATGTTTGCAGGATGGCAACTTATTTTTATTTCCTGTGTTTATTAAGAAACAACTGGAGTGGGTATATAGTACCTTATTTTAAAAATATTTAAAACTACAAGTTTTACATGCTCATTGTAAAAAAACTAAAACATAGATGTAGGTATAAGGTCACAAAAATTATCTTCCTTGTCCCCAATTTATTACCGTGACTCAGAATTCACCCTGTTAATACTCTGCAGCTCCTTCAAGATAAAAAAATATAATTACAACAATCAATATACAAACATATACACATCAGTTTTTTTTAACACTTGCCTTTCATTGAACATACATTGGACATTTGTGTATTCATGTGACATCACATCTCCCAGTAACAAAGGCATCATTATTAGAGTAACAATATTAAGGAACAAGTTACTGTTAACTGTATCACCTACAGTTTTTCATGCATTTTTTATTGTGATTTCATCCTAATGGGTTGAACAAAATGTGTTTGCTTATTTATTTAGAATAGCACTTCCTGCTAAAAATGTCATAAGTTCAGGAAAGTTTACAAATGTAGATTAATCACTGGATATTTTAGCTATTCTTTTATGTAAGTATATCTTTTCTAATAAAACCTTAGAATACATTATTTTCCTTTTATTAACAACTTGGACAATATTTGGGTTAAGAGTTATGTGTGTAAGGAAAATCATGACTAACAGAACCAATATTTTCTTTATGATAGTTCATTAGTTAATGATTAACCAGGTCTTTGAGATCATTTTTCTGAATAATTATTTAACCTATAAGTAGTATCTTAAAAAAAACAGCTTTAAAGAGAATGGAGTGTTATGCTCTCCCTTTTGACAAAAAAGCTTTGATGAAACAATTTTCTTATTTCTTTGAATATTTATCTTAATTGAATTTTAAGTCTTGAATGTTGCCTTAATACTACCTGATTATCTTAGCACAGTATTGCTGGAATTAAGTGTCTCAGAAAGTTAAAGTTGATGGCAATTCCAGAACCTGAATTCTTTCTTTCTTTCTTTCTTTCTTTACTTATTTATTTATTTTTTATTATTATACTTTAAGTTTTAGGGTACATGTGCACATTGTGCAGGTTAGTTACATATGTATACATGTGCCATGCTGGTGCGCTGCACCCACTAACTCATCATCTAGCATTAGGTATATCTCCCAATGCTATCCCTCCCCCCTCCCCCCACCCCACTACAGTCCCCAGAATGTGATATTCCCCTTCCTGTGTCCATGTGATCTCATTGTTCAATTCCCACCTATGAGTGAGAATATGCGGTGTTTGGTTTTTTGTTCTTGCGATAGTTTACTGAGAATGATGATTTCCAATTTCATCCATGTCCCTACAAAGGACATGAACTCATCATTTTTTATGGCTGCATAGTATTCCATGGTGTATATGTGCCACATTTTCTTAATCCAGTCTATCATTGTTGGACATTTGGGTTGGTTCCAAGTCTTTGCTATCGTGAACCTGAATTCTTAAGTCATCTTATAGCCCTATAGTAAAACTCTCATCCTGCTATACTGATTCCTCAGTTATCTTACTAATTTGATAGGCTTAGCTCTCCAGAAGGCCATTGGCTAGAAAGGAAAAGGGAAAAGTCTGAGTATCAGGAGCAAATAAAAAGCTCAAAGGGACTAAAATATCCATGCATACATGGGACACAGTGTGATTGGATGCTTTTTCTATCTTTATGGAAGAAATGTTTTTAAGATTTATATTTGTCCTAATGTCACCAGGCTCTGCAGCACCAGAGTACAAACAGAGTAATTCAGATTGGTCTGAAGTGGCAATGGGAGCCATTAGCTAACTGCATACTAGACCTTCCTATGACCTGTTTCAGCCCTCTTATTTCAGTGTTGAGGGACGGGAGCTCTGAGGCAAAATGGCTTATGTAAGCTCTTCTAGTTACTGATAGAGTTCAGACTAAAAATCAGATTATTTGTCCAGATTCAGAAGTGTTTACATCACTGATATTTTTTTTTCCCCAGAGCTAGCTGTGTAACTCATTAGTAAGTTTATAAAGTCAATTTAGTGGATTGACCAGCATTTTAAAAAAGTGAAGTGCAGTAGAATAGAAAATCAGAGTTTATCACATCTTATAATACAATGCTTGCTTTGATTAAATATGTTTTAGTTTTATAGATGTGGAAATATTAAACGTATTTTTGCATTATGATCAAAGTTAACAAAACTCTATACTGTTTGAAAGCAAAACGGAGAAAGCAGGTGGAAAAGCACTGAAGATAGTATAGTACTCTGAAGGGAAGTTAGGTCTTGCACACCTCAACCAGGAAGATGGTTCTATATGAGAAAATGCCACGATAAAAATAAGTCAGCCAATATAAAATGCAGCCATATAAGGAGGCTTTATTTTAGTAGAATGACAATTAACAGAACATTGAGACTATATAAACAGGATGTGGCAAGGATTTTTAACTTTCCCAACTGGGAAAGACAATGGAAAAGTTGTTAATTATACAAGGAAAAATGGTGACTTGTACAAATTAAGAAAAATTTAATGAATGAGATATTCATCTTCCACATGTAATACCAAGACCCCAGACAGCTGGCTAACATCATTGCCAATTTTTCATCAAAGCTGTTGAACACCTTGTGCTATACATATGGCACAACTAAATTAGACCACCTAAACTGTTTTTTGCATAATTGATTTTCAGTGAAAAGACCAGAGGGTGCTTCCCTTTTTGACAGTGCTAATTGAAAATGTACAATGTTTTCTAGGAGCAAATGGAGTTGACTGAAGTGTATGACGTGTGTTTGAAATAAGTAACTTTTAAATGTTGAAGTGAGGTGCTGAAGTAGTTTACCTGCAACTGGGCGAGGCAGGGTTGGGGGTGGAGGGAAAGTTTGTTATAGGACAGCTTAGTAAGTAACGCTTGAACTTCATGTATCCTTTTAAGAGCCTGTTGGAACTAAGTATTGTAGTGGCTATCTAGTTTGATCCTAGCAGGTGCCAGTGACTCAAACACTGTTACAGAGAACTAAAGATTCGTTGATCGTGCTTATTAGTGTTGATGTTTCAGCTTTCCTTAAAATAAAACTTGCAGAGATTGAAGGCTCTTAAAATTATTTGTCTGAAAATTACCACATATTACTTTTCAGTGGCAGGTCTAAAAAAAAAAAATTATATATATATATATACACACACACATATATATTTTTATATGTGTATATATACACATATAAAATATATATACATATGTTTTATATGTATATATATACATAGAAAATATATATACATGTTTTATATGTATATATATACATAGAAAATATATATACATGTTTTATATGTATATATATACATAGAAAATATATATACATATGTTTTATATGTATATATATACATAGAAAATATATATACATATGTTTTATATGTATATATATACATAGAAAATATATATACATATGTTTTATATGTATATATATACATAGAAAATATATATACATATGTTTTATATGTATATATACATAGAAAATATATGTACATATGTTTTATATGTATATATATAGAAAATATATACATAGGTTTTATATGTATATATACATAGAAACTGTATATACAGAGGTTTTATATGTATATATACATAGAAACTGTATATACAGAGGTTTTATATGTATATATACATAGAAACTGTATATACAGAGGTTTTATATGTATATATACATAGAAACTGTATATACAGAGGTTTTATATGTATATATACATAGAAACTGTATATACAGAGGTTTTATATGTATATATACATAGAAACTGTATATACAGAGGTTTTATATGTATATATACATAGAAACTGTATATACAGAGGTTTTATATGTATATATACATAGAAACTGTATATACAGAGGTTTTATATGTATATATACATAGAAACTGTATATACAGAGGTTTTATATGTATATATACATAGAAACTGTATATACAGAGGTTTTATATGTATATATACATAGAAACTGTATATACAGAGGTTTTATATGTATATATACATAGAAACTGTATATACAGAGGTTTTATATGTATATATACATAGAAACTGTATATACAGAGGTTTTATATGTATATATACATAGAAACTGTATATACAGAGGTTTTATATGTATATATACATAGAAACTGTATATACAGAGGTTTTATATGTATATATACATAGAAACTGTATATACAGAGGTTTTATATGTATATATACATAGAAACTGTATATACAGAGGTTTTATATGTATATATACATAGAAACTGTATATACAGAGGTTTTATATGTATATATACATAGAAACTGTATATACAGAGGTTTTATATGTATATATACACACATAAAATATATACTTGTGTGTATACATATGTGACTGTACCATTTGTTTTTTGTATTATCTGCAAAAAGATGACTTTAGAACCAAATATTTTGAGAATAACTGAGACTTTGTTTTCCAGACAGTTGTCATACTTCATTGGAAACATTCAGGGTTATCATGGGCTTTATATTATTTTTGTTCTCCCAGCATAGAATGTGATGTGTATGGAAAAGAAGGGGTTCTATGAGAAGGATAGTAGTTTCTGGTGTGTGTGGTTTGGAAGCAATTTAAGAAAAGTTAAAGAAAATTAGAGTGACATTCCAAATAGTAGTTTGAAATGTATATTTCAAATATAATTTGAAGAATTCTGAAAATTTAGATTAAGACTTTTCAGATGCTCTTGCCAGAATCCAATATACCATTAATGAAACTACTGAAGTTGAAAAAAATGTTTATAAGTCACTAGAATGTATGATGTACTAATGATGGCCAGATAGGACATTGTAAATGTTACTTGCATTCTAATGACATTGAATAAAGTGATTTTTAAAATGACTTTTTGGAGGGTTAGAGCTATATAGGAGAAATACAGATTTTTTTTTTTTTTTAAAAACCTTGCCTATCTAATTTTGGAGCTGTGTTGTACTCAAGGAGTTTTTAGCCACATGATCTCTATAACTAGTTTTTTGTATTATCTGCAAAAAGATGACTTTAGAACCAAATATTTTGAGAATAACTGAGACTTTTTTTTTCTAGACAATTGTCATACTTCATTGGAAACATTCAGGGTTATTGTGGGCTTTTTCTTTCTTTAAATCCAGCTCTAGGCCAAGTCATAGAAACACTAGGCTCAAAGCTATCCTGCTCACTGTCAGGAGACTGACTCTGAAAATGATCACTTCTGTCTTAATGCCATACATTTGTATAGCACCTCAACAGTTTTATCAAAATAATATAATAACATGTTAGTAGTTTTCAAAACTCCCCTTGTTAGGCTTATTACAGGAAGCAGTCCTCTACTCCCTCCTCCTGCTGAGTCCTTCACATAGGCATCACTTTATACTCTACTAGCTGTTTCTTTTTCCTAAACAGTCTTTATACTTTTATGATCTTAGACATCTATGGACTTATTATGAAAGAAGAAAACTTAGCTCTCTTCCTCTCACCCTTGACTACCATATCTCTTTTCCCTTCTCATAATGGTTTTTATGGTTTTTCTTTTATATTTAATGTCTGCATTATGATTATAATTTACTAGCTAAGTCCTGTTAATTGCATGTTAAACATGTATTTTCTCTGACCCCTTTGTTCCTCCAAGAGTTAGTAATGGCACTTCTTCTCTCCTCTTCACTTTCTTTAATTACCTATCAGAAATTATTTCCCCAAACACGCTAAAGGAGCCATAAAATCCCTCATTAAGGTCATACACATTTGGCAGTCTGTTAAATCTGCTTTTTTAAAATTTATATTGTAGTGCTATCCCCTCTGAAACTCTTAATCTCATTGCTCTAGTTTTTACTGTTTGCCCCCTAAGCTGGATGCATACTGCTGTTGCCATGGGAACTCTTTCAGTTTCTTGGCAATGTGGATTCCCTTCTTCTTAAATCCTTTTCGTTTGTATTTTTTTTATTCTCTTAGGTGGGGCACAGCCTTCAATAGCTTTCTGAGAAAGGAGACCTGCAGGAGAGGCACACTTTGAGATCCTGCGTATTTGAAAATGTCATTGTTCTGCCCTTACATAAGATTCATAGTTGGACTGGCTATAAAAGTCTAAGTTAACCTTTCCCTCATGTTTGAAGGCACTGTTCCATTTTGTTCTAGCTTCTGTTATGTTCTAGCTGTTGAGTGCACTGTGTTTGGATATCTAATCCTTTTTGACTTTTTCTTTTGCTTCCTTTATTCCTAGTATTCTAAAATGTCATGTTGTACCTTGGTATGGGTTATTTTATTTAATATACTGGACATTCGTGCACACTTTCACTCTAGAATTGCATGGCCTGACTTCCACTCTGGAAATTTTCTTGCTCTTTTTTTTTTCTTCAAAATAACTTTCCAGTTTCTTTCTTTTCTTTCTTTCTTTTTTTTAAGAACTTGTAACAGACAGATGTAGGTCATTCCATCTGGCTTAATCACTTGATTTTCTTATCTGTCTTATCCCATTGCTAATCTGTTTTTATTTTGTTTTCAGGAGACTTCTTCAACTTGATATTCCAAACTCATTTACTGACTCTTTTGTTTTTGCTATGATAGTTTCATTTCCCAAGCATGAATAAACTGTTTTTTTCAATATCCATGTGTATGTGTGTGCTTGTGTGTGTGTGTGAATGTAACATTTTCTTTTAGATGATATAAATTATATTCGTCTTGACATTTTCATCTGTTCCCTGCATTGTTTTTCTCTTTGGTTCTCTTTACTCCCTCTACTTTTAGTCTCAGTGTTTCATGTAAAAGGAATATTTCACATATTTGGTGTCACTGGTTGTCTGTTCATACCCAAAGGAGGTGCCGAAGCCGATCTAAAGCTCTTAATGGATGGAGCTCCTTGGTGCAGTTTACTAGTGATTGGATGGGTAGCCAGGCCACATTCAAGCATCTCTAGGTCTTCTCTTGGATTCATCTTTTTCTCTATGCATAAACCTTCTATACTCCTAGGAGATGTAAGCAAGGCAGTCATTTCTAGGAATATAAAGAAAGAAATGGGACCAGAATTCTAACGAGTCAGCATGTGGACTTCCATTTAATGTTTGGTTAAGTAAGGTACCTCATTTATCCTTCAGCTAAGTTTGGTGTGCCTGAAGTCAGGGCTTCTCTGGATCAGCTTATTCACATAGCAAAGTCTCTGATCTCAGGTTGAGATGAAGAGGGGTGGTAGGACTGGCTGTATTGGAGGGGATTTGGGATTCCAGTTGTCCCTTAGGTAGACTTTCAACTGGATTCACTGCTTTTAGTGCCATGATCATCCCTACCTTCTATGAAATGCGGAGTGGGAATGAGATATAGTACCAGACAATAGGAATTGGACTATGGAGTATGAAAGAGAAATCTCCATAAGTGAACATGGCATAGTGGGTCACTTAGAAACTGAATGTGCCTGTAGAAATGAGCACTGCTTTTGAATATGCTGTGAGGCAGTGTGGACAAATGAAATATTTGTATCACATAGGCCCTAAGTAATTGAAGACACCTTACTGTGGTGTTCCCCTACAAACAAAAAAAGGACTCTATCAAAAAAAGTGAATGGGAGTATCTGGAATCCAGAGTCAAGCTGGTTGGAGGAAGCTTCCTAGCAGCAGAAGAGATCAGCAATTCTCCCATTGGATACTGGAGGTAACAGGCAGAGCCGTGCTTTAGATAGCAGTTTCAGATGGTAGCTGAGAGGGATTTGAAAACAACAGGCACAAGCTCAGACAGAAACATGAATTCTCCAGCAGGGGTTGACAGACACCTCATACGGGAGAGCTCTGGCTCGCATCTGGCAGGTGCCCCTCTGGAACAAAGCTTCCAGAGGAAGGAACAGGCAGCAATCTTTGCTGTTCTGCAGCTACTGCTGGTGATACCCAGACATACAGAGTCTGGAGTGGACCTCAGGAAAACCCCAGCAGACCTGCAGCAGAGGAGTCTGACTGTTAGAAGGAAAACTAACAAACAGAAAGGAATAGCATCAGCATCAATAAAAAGGACGTCCACACAGAAACCCCATCCAAAGGTCACCAACATCAAAGACCAAAGGTAGATAAATCCACGAAGATGAGGAAAAAACAGTGCAAAAAGGCTGAAAATTCCAAAAACCAGAATGCCTCTTCTCCTCCAAAGGATCACAACTCCTTGCCAGCAAGGGAACAAAACTGGACGGAGAATGAGTTTGATGAATTGACAGAAATAGACTTCAGAAGGTGGGTAATAACAAACTCCTCCGAGCTAAAGGAGCATGTTCTAATACAATGCAAGGAAGCTAAGAACTTTGAAAAAAGGTTGGAGGAATTGCTAACTAGAACAACCAGTTCAGGGAAGAACATAAATGACCTGATGGAGCTGAAAAACACAGCACGAGAACTTCATGAAGCATACACAAGTATCAATAGCCAAATCAATCAAGCAGAAGAAGGTATATCAGAGATTGAAGATCACCTTAATGAAATAAAGCATGAAGACAAGATTAGAGAAAAACAAATGAAAAGGAATTAACAAAGCCTCCAAGAAATATGGGACTATGTGAAAAGACCAAACCTACATTTGGTGTACCTGAAAGTGACTGGGAGAATGGAACCAAGTTGGAAAACACTCTTCAGGATATTATCCAGGAGACCTTTCCCAACCTAGCAAGACAGGCCAACATTCAAATGCAGGAAATACACAGAACACAACAAAGATACTCCTCGAGAAGAACAACTCCAAGACACAAAATTGTCAGATTCACCAAGGTGGAAATGAAGGGAATAAAGTTAAGAGCAGCCAAAGAGGAATTACCCACAAAGGGAAGCCCATTAGACTAACAGCGGATCTCTCTGTAGAAACCCTACAAGCCAGAAGAGAGTGGGGGCCAATATTCAACATTCTTAAAGAAAAGAATTTTCAACCCAGAATTTCATATCCAGCCAAATGAAGCTTCAAAAGCGAAGGAAAAATAAAATCCTTTACAGACAAGCTAATGCTGAGAGATTTTGTCACCTCCAGTCCTGCCTTACAAGAGCTCCTGAAGGAAGCACTAAATATATTGTTGTTGTTGTTGTTGTTTTTGAGACAGAGTCTCACTCTGTCACCCAGGCCGGAGTGCAATGGCGCGATCTCGGCTCACTGCAACCCCCGCCTCCCAGGTTCAAGTGATTCCTCTGCCTCTGCCTCCTGAGTAGTTGGGATTACAGGCACCCACTACCAGGCCTGGGTAATTTTTTGTATTTTTAGTAGAGGCGGGGTTTTGCCACATTGGTCAGGCTGGTCTTGAACTCCTGACCTCAGATGATCTGCCAGGCTCAGCCTCCCAAAGTGCTGGGATTACAGGTGTGAGCCACCGCATCTGGCCTTGGAAGAACTAACAATGGAAAGGAAAAACCAGTACCAGCCACTGCAAAAACATACCAAATTGTAAAGACCAGTGATACTATGAAGAAACCACATCAACTAATGGGCAAAATAACCAGCTGGCATCATAATGACAGGATCAAATTCACACATAACAATATTAACCTTAAACGTAAATGGGATAAATACCCCAATTAAAAGACACAGATTGGCAAATTGTATAAAGAGTCAAGACCCATTGGTGTGCTGTATTCAGGAGACCCATCTCACATGCAAAGGCACATATAGGCTCAAAATAAAGGGATGGAGGAATATTTACCAAGCAAATG
The DNA here is from genome assembly GCF_000001405.40 of Homo sapiens. Classification (NCBI taxonomy): domain Eukaryota; kingdom Metazoa; phylum Chordata; class Mammalia; order Primates; family Hominidae; genus Homo; species Homo sapiens. The sequence goes on from NC_000013.11 coordinate 77,710,400, forward strand.
GAAAACAAAAAAAAACAAAACAAAAAAACATGGGTTGCAATCCTAGTCTCTGATAAAACAGACTTTAAACCAACAAAGATCAAAAGAGACAAAGAAGGGCATCACATAATGGTAAAGGGATCAGTGCAACAAGAAGAGCTAACTATCCTAAATATATATCCACCCAATACAGGAGGACCCAGATTCATAAAACAAGTTCTTAGAGACCTACAAGGAGACTTAGACTCCCACACAATAATAGTGGGAGACTCTAACACCCCACTGTCAATATTAGATCAATGAGACAGAAAATTAGCAAGGATATTCAGGACTTGAACTCAGCTGTGGACCAAGTGGGCCTAATAGACATCTACAGAACTCTCCACCCCAAATCAACAGAATATACATTCTTTTCAGCACCATGTCACACTTATTCTAAAATTGACCACATAATTGGAAGTAAAACACTCCTCAGCAAAGGCAAAAGAATGGAAATCATAACAGTCTCTCAGACCACAGTGCAATCAAATTAGAACGCAGGATTAAGAAACTGACTGAAAACCGCACAATTACATGGAAACTGAACAACCTGCTCCTGAATGACTACTGGGTAAATAAAGAAATTAAGGCAGAAATAAGTTCTTTAAAACCAATGAGAACAAAGACACAATGTCCCAGAATCTATGGGACACAGCTAAAGCAGTGTTCAGAGGGAAATTTATAGCACTAAATGCCCACCAGAGAAAGCAGGAAAGATCTCAGATCAACACCCTAATATCACAATTAACAGAACTAGAGAAGCAAGAGCAAACAAATTCAAAAGCTAGCAGACAACAAGAAATAACTAAGCAGAACTGAAGGAGATAGAGACATGAAAAACCCTTTTAAAAAGTTAATGAATCCAGGAGCTGGTTTTTTGAAAAGACCAACAAAATAGATAGACCGCTAGCCAGACTATTAAAGAAGAAAAGAGAGAAGAATCAAATACACACAATAAAAAATGATAAAGGGGATATCACCACTGATCCCACAGAAATACAAACTACCATCTGAGAATACTATAAATACCTCTATGAAAATAAACTAGGAAATCTAGAAGAAATGGATCAATTTCTGGACACAAACACCCTCCCCAGACTAAACCAGGAAGAAGTCGAATCCCTGAATAGACCAGTAATAAATTCTGGAATTAAGGCAGTAATTAATAACCTATCAACCAAAAAAAGCCCAGGATCAGATGGATTCAGAGCCAGATTCTACCAGAGGTGCAAAGAGGAGCTGGTACCATTCCTTCTGAAACTATTCCAAACAATAGAAAGAGAGGGGCTCCTCCCTAACTCATTTTATGAGACCAGCATCATCCTGATACCAAAACCTGGCAGAGACACAAATAAAAAAGAAAATTTCAGCCCAATATCCCTGATGAACATCGATGTGAAAATCCTCAGTAAAATACTGGCAAATCGAATCCAACAGCACATCAAAAAGCTTATCCACCACGGTCAAGTCGGCTTCATCCCCGGGATGCAGGGCTGGTTCAACATATGCAAATCATAAACATAATCATCACATAAACAGAACCAATCACAAAACCACATAATTAATAGGTGCAGAAAAAGGCATCGATAAAATTTATCACCCTTTCATGCTTAAAAACTCTCAATAAACTAGGTATTGATGGAATGTATCTCAAAATAATAAGAGCTATTTATGACAAACCCACAGCCAGTATCATACTGAATTGGCAAAAGCTGGAAGCATTCCTTTTGAAAACTGGCACAAGACAAAGATGCCCTCTCTCACCACTCCTATTCAACATAGTATTGGAAGTTCTGGCCAGGGCAATCAGACAAGAGAAAGAAAGAAATGGTATTCAAATAGGAAGAGAGGAAGTCAAATTGTCTCTGTTTGCAGATGACATGATTGTATATTGAGAAAACCCCATCATCTCAGCCCAAAATCACCTTAAGCTGATAAGCAACTTCAGCAAAGTCTCAGGATACAAAATCAATGTGCAAAAAATCACAAGTATTTCTATACACTAATAATGAACAGCCAAATCATGAGTGAACTCCCATTCACAATTGCTACAAAGAGAATAAAATATCTAGAAATACAACTCACAAGAAATGTGAAGGACGTTTTCAAGTACTACAAACCAGTGCTCAAGGAAATCAGAGCGGACACAAACAAATGGAAATACATTCCATGCTCATGGATAGGAAGAATCAATATCGTCAAAATGGCCATACTGCCCAAAGTAATTTATAGATTCAGTGCCATCCCCATCAAGCTACCATTGACTTTCTTCACATAATTAGAAAAAACTATTTCAAATTTCATATGGAACCAAAAAAGAGCCCATATAGCCAAGACAATCCTAAGCAAAAAGAACAAAGCTGGAGGTATCATGCTACCTGATTTCAAACTCTACTACAAAGCTACTGTAACCAAAACAGCATGGTACTGGTACCAAAACAGATATATAGACCAATGGAACAGAACAGAGGCCTCAGAAATAATGCCACACATTTACAACCATCTGATCTTTGACAAACCTGACCAAAACAAGTAATGGGGAAAGGATTCCCTATTTAATAAATGGTGCTGGGAAAACTGGCTAGCCATATGCAGAAAACTGAAACCAGACCCCTTCCTTACACCTTATGCAAAAATTAACTCAAGATAGATTAAAGATTTAAACGTAAGACCTAAAACCGTAAAAACCCTAGAAGAAAACCTGGGCAATACCATTCAGGACATGGGCATGGGCAAAGACTTCATGAGTAAAACACCAAGAGCAATGGCAACAAAAGCCAAAATTGACAAATGGGATCTAATTAAACTAAAGAGCTTATGCAGCCTACTGAATGGGAGAAAATTTTTGCAATCTATCCACCTGACAAAGCGCTAATATCCAGAATCCACAAGGAACTTAAACAAATTTACAAGAAAAAAACAACCCCATCAAAAAGTGGGCGAAGGATATGAACAGACACTTCTCAACAGAAGACATTTATGCGGCCAGCAAACATGAAAAAAAGCTCATCATCACTGGTCATTAGAGAAATGTAAATCAAAACCACAATGAGATAGCATCTCACACCAGTTAGAATGGCGATCATTAAAAAGTCAGGAAACAACAGATGCTGGAGAGGATGTGGAGAAATAGGAACACTTTTACACTGTTGGTGGGAGTGTAAATTAGTTCAACCATTGTAGAAGACAGTGTGGCGATTCCTCAAGGATCTAGAACCAGAAATATCATTTGACCCAGCCATCCCATTACTGGGTATATACCCAAAGGATTATAAATCATTCTACTATAAAGACACATGCACACGTATGTTTATTGTGGCACTGTTCACAATAGTAAAGACTTGGAACCAACCCAAATGCCCATCAATAGTAGACTGGATAAAGAAAATGTGGCACATACACACCATGGAATACTGTTCAGCCATAAAAAAAGGATGAGTTCATGTCCTTTGCAGGGACATGGATGAAGCTGGAAACCATCATTCTCAGCAAACTAACACAGGAACAGAAAACCAAACACTGCATGTTCTCACTCATAGGTGGGAGTTGAACAATGAGAACACATGGACACAGGGAGTGGAACATCACACACCAGGGCCTGTCGAGGGGTGGGGGGCTAGGGGAGGGATAGCATTAGGAGAAATGCCTAACGTAGATGACAGTTGATGGGTGCAGCAAACCACTATGGCACGTGTATACCTGTGTAAAAAATCCTGCACCTTCTGCACATATATCCCAGAACTTAAAGTATAGTAATAAAAAAATAAGGAAAATTGGTGAAAAAAGTATTGAGATAAGGAAACTCCACAGTTGACTAACTAGTGGCTCATTTCTGTCAGGGCTGTGGTATTCATGGCTTTTTACATACGTGGTAGATGGCAGCTATGAATTTCTCATCTTAAGAACACTGAGTACTGGTCATGGTGGGTCACACCTGTAATCCCAGCACCTTGAGAGGCTAAGGCAGGAAGATCACTTGAGCCCAGGCTTTTGAGACCAGCCTCGACAACATAGGAAGACCACATCTCTACAAAAAAACTTATAAAATAGCTGGGTGTGGTGGTGCATGCCTATGATCCTAGCAACTCAGGAGGCTGAGGTGGGAGGATTACTTGAGCTCAGAAGGTCAAAGCTGCAGTGAGGTGTGTTTGTCCCACTGCACTCCAGCCTGGGTGACAGAGCAAGACCATGTCTCAAAACAGAACAAACAAAACCACAAAGCAGTGATTCCTTATCTTGTGACTTTTTAAAAACTGCTTTATTGGAATACAATTAATATGTAAACTGCACATTCTTGTAATGTACAATTTGATAGACTTTAACATGTATATATACCCGGGAAATCATGACCACAGTTAATGTGTAGTGAACAGATTTCAACACTTGAAGTTTCCTGTGGCCCCTTGTTTTCCTTATTCTTTCCCTCCTGATCCTTGCTACCTCCAACCCAGGCAACCCCTGATCTGTTTTCTGTCAGTTTAGATTAGTCACCCAGACTGGAGTTCAGTGGCACTATCTCAGCTCACTGCAACCTCCACCTCTCGGGTTCAAATGATTCTCTTGCCTCAGCCTCCTGAGTAGCTGGGATTACAGGTGCATGCCACCACATGCAGCTAATTTTCGTATTTTTAGTAGAGACAGGGTTTCACCATGTTGGCCAGGATGGTCTCGATCTCCTGACCTTGTGATTTGCCCACCTTGGTCTCTAAAAGTGCTGGGATTACAGGCAGTTTGCATTTTTTATAGTTTTATATCAATAAAGTCACAGACTATGTACTCTTCCATTTGTTTGTTTTGGTCTGGCTTCTTTCAAGCTAGATAGTTATTTTGAAATTTGTGTTATTACATGAATCAGTAGTTCATTTTTATTGTGGGAGCTGTTAGATTTCATCATTGTAACCATGGCTTGTTTATCCACTCATCTTTTGATGGGCACTTGGGTTGTTTTTAGTTTTGGGTTATGACAAATAAAACTGCAGACATTTATGTTTAAGTCTTCATATGAACATGCTTTCATTTCTCTTGGGTAAATACTTCTGACTTGAGTGTCTGGAACAGAGAGTAAGTGTAGGTTAACTTTTTAAGAAGCTGCCAAACTCTTTTCCAAAGTGGTTTCACCATTTTTCATTTTCATAACCAGTGTATGAAGTTTTCAGTGGCACCAAATCTTTCTTAACACTTGCTATGGGTAGTATTTTTCATTTTAGCCATTCCAATAGGTATGTGGTAGAATCTCATTGTGGTTTTAGCTATTTTTCTAATGATTAATGATGAACATCTTTTCATATAGCTGTTTGCCATAATAGGTCTTCTTTGGTGAAATGTGTAATCGAAACTTTTGTCTATTTTTAAAATTGAGTTGTTTGCTATTTGTAGTTTCTTGTTTTCTGCATAAAAGTTCTTTGGTAGATATATGATTTGCAAATATGTCTTTCCCAATCTGTGGTTTATCACTCATCCTTTTAGCAATGTCTTTCAAAAAGAAAAGTTTTTAATTTTGATGAAGTCCAATTGATGTTTTTTCTTTTATGGATCATATTTTCAGTCTTATAAATTGTATCTAAGAAGCATTTGCCAACTCAAGGACACACATACTTTTACCTTTGGTTTCTTATAAAAGTGTTACTGTTTCAAGTTTTACATTTTTGTCTGTGCTCTATTTTGAGTTAGTTTTGGATAGTGTTTGTACTGTGGATCAAAGTTTTGTTTTTTTTTTTCTCACATATAGATACCCATTTTGTTCCAACACCATTTATTTAAAAGACTATCCTTTAAATTGTGTTTTACTAAAAATCCTCCATATATGTGTGGTTTTATTTCTGGGCTATTTTTTTCCACTGATCCGTTTATTTTTATGCTACACTAAACTGTTTTCATTACTGTCATGAGCTTCAATCAGTGGTATAGCTCTCCATTTTTTTTTTTTAACATTTGTTTGGCTATTCTAAGATCTTTGCATTTCCATATGAATTTTAGATCATCTACATTTCTACAAAAAAGCTTGCTGGAATTTCTATTGGGATTTTGCAAATTATGTGGACCAATTTAAGGAGAATTGACATCTTAATATTTAGTTTTCTTACTCACGAAAATGGCATATCTCTCCAGTTATGTCCTCTTTAATTCTCAGAATGTTTTGTAGTCTTCAGTGTTCAGGTCCTACACATCTTTTGTCAGATTTATCCTTAAGCATCTGATGGTTTTTTAAAAAATGCTATAGTAAATGAAAAGTGAAATTTTAAAAATATGAATTCGTTTGTTGTTAATATATATAAGTATACAATTGACTTTCCTACATCAATCTGGTATCTTACAATCTTGCTACTAAACTCACTTATGCTATTATCATTTTTGTAGATTCTTCAGATTTTTTTTACATAGATGATCATGTCATCTGTGAATAAAGACAGATTTACTTGTTTCTTTCCAATGTAAATGTTTTTAATGTAATGCCTGATTGCATTGGCTAGGATCTTCAGCAGAGTGTTAAATAGAAGCGATGAGAGCCAATGTCTGTGTCTGTTTGATATCACAGGCAAAGCATTCAGCCTTTTACCATTAACTATGCTGTTTTTGTAGATGCCTTCAATCAGGTTGAGGATGTTTCTTTCTGTTTCCGATTTGATGAGAATTTTTATCAGGAGTGGATGTCAAATGCCTTTTTTTTCTATTGATATTATATACTTTTTCTATTTTAGTTAATCTGATAAGTTATATTGATGTTTGAATTTGTACCAACTTTTTATTTCTGATATAAACCCCACTTATTAATGGTGAAATATGCTAATGGTGAAGTTAGACTCAATTTACTGAAATATTTAGACTTTTTACATCTGTGTTCATGTGTGATATTGGCCGTTAGTTTCTTAATTTGTAATGTCTGATTTTGGTGTCAAGGTAACACTGCCCTAATAGGATGTATTAGGATGTATTCCCTCCTCTTCTGTTTTTCGGAAGAGTTTGTGAAGAACTGATGTTTTCTTTAAATACTTGGTAGAGTTTAGCAGTAAAGTCTTCTGGGCCCAGGTTTTTCTTTGTGGGTAGTTTTTTATTTTTTATTTTTTGATTACTTTTCTGGCTATTTACTTTTAACTTATTTGTTTGCCCATGTTTAAGGTGCGTTTCCTGTAGGAAGCATATAATTGAGTCTTTTGTGACACTTCCACCTCCCTTTAAGGAAAAACTTGTCCGCAAGCTTATCAGATGATTTTCTCTCAGTTTCTGTTGGCTAGGATTGTGTCTGGGGCGTGGGCCTAAACCAGTCAGGCAAAGGGGAACAATGAAAATACCATGATTGGCTTAGCTGAGTGCCTCTCAAGATGTGGTCTCCAGACCGGTAATATTAGCATCACCTGGAAGCTGCTTAGAAATCCAGATTCTTTGACCCTATGCATCAAACTTTTAAGGGGTGTGGTTTAGCAATTTGTCTTAACAAGATGTTTAAGTAATTTTGAGGCATGAGACATTGAGAATAACTAGCCTGGACTAACCTATACTTGTGAGTAGGGAGAAGTACCGTGTACTGGGCAGTTTAGGCTATGTTGCAAGGAAGTGGAAGGGATTATTACCTACATAGGTAGGTGATAATCTTGCCATAGTAGGACTGAGCTGGGGCCCAAGAATATGATTTTTAACTATATATACTCTTGATGGAGTCACAACTGTGCAACACACTCTAAGGAAAAAAAAAAATATATTGGACTTACAATTAAATCCATTGAGATCTATATTTTAGAGTCCTTACCTGTAACTGGAGTGAACAAACTGTCTCAAGGGCAAATCAGAGCCGTTGCATGTTTTGTATGGTGGGTAAGATACGGTTTTATGTTTTTAAATGATGAAAAAAAATACAAAGAATGTGAAAACTATGGGAAATTCAACTTTCAATGTCTATAAATCAATTTTAAAGGAACACAGCCACGTTTATTCGCTTACATATTGTCTAGGATGCCTTTGGACTGGAATGGCAGGGCTGAGTAGTTGTGACAGAGATCATGTGGCTTACAAAGCCTGAAATATTTACTTGCCGGTCCTTTACAGAAAACATTTGGCAATCCCTGATCTGTAAGAATAATTTACTGAAGAATAGTACATTCCCCAACCATCTTGTATAACTGATAAATTACTCTAATAGGTGAACGTTTTGTCTAGAACAGTGAAAGTATGAATAATGAAGTATGTTATTTCAAGAATATGTGCTTATTAGAATTGTGGTAGCTTTGTTGGAAAGAAGATTACTTTAGATTTGTAATTAATGTAAGCTTATAGTAGTAAGGTGTCACGTATTAGAGCCAGCAGTTTTGGGGAGGTAATTCACCCTCCCCCCTTTTTTAGTTAACTGCTGTTTATTCCTCAAGATAAACCTTTCTGTATAGCCCTATCACTGAAAATATTCTAAAATCTACCTTAACATGGCATATTAATGAGAGAAGCTTTTTTATAACTTGCAGTGCCTCCGGGTAGTCATTTTGAATACTATCCATTACTGTGTAATTGTGTAGGTGCTGAAAGTGAAGTCTTCGTAAAACATATCTTTTAAAGCTCTTTGTTTGGCTTTAATGAAAAAGAAACATATACCAAGGTTAGTATAGATTTGAGACAGGAGAAATATGTGATTATGTAAGGGTTCAAAGAATCAAGTGACTGGCTTTTACGGGTGTTTAGACTTATTTTTAAAAAATACACATAAGATTTGCCTTGTTTGTCACATCATGTTTACCTTCATTAGCCCAAGTTTACAAAAGATTCTGTTGCCAAAGAGAAAGATGAAAATGTTCATTTCTTGACATGTCAATAGAGATAGTAAGATCATGATAGTGCCTTTTTAGGGCTAGTTTAGTTAAAAAAAAAAAAAAAGCCCTTGATCTCTGATGCTGAAACACACAGTTAGGGGGAAAATTGTTAGACCTTTTTTTGGAAGTTCTCACCAGGCTACAGGAAGTGTCATATTCTATTTGGGGATATTTGCCTGTTAAAAACTATTTCTGATACTTTGAAGTCATCAAATATGAGTTCTGTTTCTATGGAAATTGTTAAATACATGTTGCTTTCCCCAGAGAGAGGTACTCTCTGTATACCTATATCATACCTATAATGTAGATTTCTTTTTTTAAGGTTATACATTGGCTCTTCAAAGACGTTCACCTCATCAGAGAAATCCCTGACTCCTTTGCAGTGGTGTAGACATGTCCTAGATAACCCAACTCCTGAGATGGAAGCAGCGAGACGTTCCCTGTGCTTTAGACTGGAGCAAGGTAATTGTGAGTGTGTGCATTTACATTCTCCAACTCTTGTCACTCTCAGTGCTGCTTTTGTTGCTGGTTTTGGAATAAACATTTCAATTGAAAATTCTTACCCTGAGGTGCAGCTGTTGCATGCAATTTGCTTCACATGTATTACACATCAAGCTTTCTCAATGTAAGATGTGTTTAGTTTTGTGCTTGATTTTAGCCATATTTTTAGTTTGCTTTAGTTCATATTGCAATGTAGGAACACACAAATTTATTTCTTTTTTTTTTCTGTTTGCAAATATACCAGTCAAAAAAATTGTCAGTTATCAGTGCTCTGGGGTCAGTAACAAGGTTGTGTGGCTGTTTTCTAAGGCAGAAAACAGGATTTCATGGGGATCTGAGTACTGACCTTACTGAGTGTCTTTAACATTTAGTTGGATGTATAACTGGAAGTGCTAACCTTTAAAAACTAAGAAATCTTCATATTGTCTGTAACATTAATTAACTTATGGAGCCTAACAGAAGTTTAAATTTAAAAAAAGGGCAGTTGGAAAAACAGCAAAAATGAATGAGTGGTACTCAGTTCCTTGCTATTTGATGCAGGGAACTACTTGAAGCTGTAATTATGTAGGCTTTTGGCTTGTCTCTTAACCTCTGGGCATCTGTTTGATCCTCTGGGAACACTGTTTCTATTCCATGGACCACCTGCATCCAAATCATACATGAGCTTCAAAGTACAGATTCCGGAGCCTCCAGATTAAAGAATGATACTGTTTGAGGGTAGAGTCAGGGGAGTCTGCATTGAGAAGTTCACCAGTGTGATTCTCATGTACACTGATATTTGAGAACGCTGCCCATGAAGCTCTTTGAGGATAATGAATAACATGTTTGGACATAAGACAAAGCATTATAGATAATGCTTCAAGAGCTCTTAATTCTATGACATTCATTACCTTTACATTCTTGACATCCTTCATCTTATTCAGTGTAACTGAACTCATCTTTAGAGGTGAGAAATACGAAGTTTAGAGAAGTTCCCAGGGTTACAAGGCAGAATGATACTCAGGGACAGAGTCAGAGCCAGGGTCTCTCTGAAACCAGAGTCTCCATACTTAATTAGTATTCTGTACTGCCGTATTGGCATGGTCATAAGTAAATATCAACAGAAATCTGTTAAATACTCGGAAGGTGGGATGAAAGAATGTATTTTATTAACATTTTAACTGAAATGAAACAGGTGACTTAATAATGGAAAGTTGAAGAGCAGTGTAGGGACAAAGGCATGTTAGGGTTAAAACTTTGGTGATAGATGCTCATCTAACAGAGCAGCCATCTCAGAGTCGGAGGCTGTAGTATTCATTCTGTTCCCATTTACCTAAGTGACTCGAAGAAAACTGATACGGTTTGGCTCTGTGTTCCCAGCCAAATCTCATCTCCATTTGTAATCCTCACATGTAGAGGGAGGCACCTGGTGGGAGGTGACTGGATCATGGGGGCGGTTTCCCCCATGCTGTTCTCATGATAGGGAGTTCTCATGAGAGCTGATGGTGTTAAGTGTGGCACTTCCTCGCTCTTTCACTTTCTCTCTCTCCTGCCACCATGTAAGGATGTGCCTTGCTTCCCCTTTACCTTCCACTATGATTGCAAGTTTTCTGAGGCCTCCCCAGCCATGGGGAACTGTGAATCAATTAAGCCTCCTTTCTTTATAAATTACCCAGTCTCAGGTAGTATCTTTGTAGCAGTGTGAGAACAGACTAATACACAAACCATTAAATCCCTTTGGATTAACTCTTTGAAGGGTTATATAGACCATTCCTAAGCCTCCTTACTTAATCCTTGACTCAGTGACTTATATCTACATTTTAACATACAAATTTGGCTCAATAATTTGAAGTAAAATTCAAATTGAATTCAGAATTAGTCCTTTATCTCAGGGGTCAACAAACTTTTTTTTGAAAGGAGATAGATAGTCAATATTTTAGATTTTGTGGGCTACATAATCTCTGTCATGACTGTTCAACTTAGCCATGCCCAGAAAACAATGATCAATGCAGAAATTAATGAATGAGGATGCATTCCAATATAACTTTATTTACAAGCCCTGACATTTGAATTTTGTGTGGTTTTTCACGTGTCACAAAATGTATATATTTTTCCCAATTATTAAAAAAATATGAAAACATTTCTTAGCTGGTGAATTATTACAAAAGCAGGAGTGGGCTGGATTTGGGGTACTCTCGGCCACAGTTTACCCACCCCGGCATTAAGTCATTTGCACACTAGATAGATTTACATACATATAAGCATTATGTCATTTGCACACTAGATACATTTACATATAAGGTTAGGTTTTTTTTTCTTTTCTAAAAAGTAATCCTAATTGGTGGTTGCTATTGAGATATTAGACTAAGTGCTTCATTATCCGATTTTCCTTTCATTGATGTGGAGCTCAGGCAGAATCGTGAGGTCATGAGGATAGGAACTGGCATACTGCAGTTTTGTTCATGATGTAATTTATTTAAACTTCCTGTAAAAGTTTAGAGAACGAGTTTTTCAAAACCAAAATTAGTCTTTTACTTAATTTGTATATAAACTCAAAACTTCTTTTGCTGTGACACTAAATGTTTTTATTCCAGAGATCCATAATCCATAATCCTGTTGAGATAAGAAGTAACCAATTAGGTTGTTTACTGGAGAAAATTCTTTTTTAAAAAATTCAACTTATATTTTATAAAATATAGTTTAAAAAATAGTCTTACAACTGTTATAAGACAAATATCAAATTGCTGCCCCAATCTCTCATGCCCTTTTTATTTCCCAGATATACTTAAGAAAAGCTATTTGTTTTGGTTTTACTGTTTACCTCTCTTTTTAAATTCCATGTTTATATGGCCATTGCTTTGAATTTTTTCATTTTAAACATTATCCATTGGCTTTTGACTTTGGATGGTGAAGATTTAATTCTTTTACACCTCACTTCTATATTTTTTCTCTGCATGTCCTTTCTATGTAACCTTTTACTACCTTTAGGGGACATCAGTATATATTATGATAGAAAGTTATATTCAAGCCATGCAATATTTTATCATTTCTTTTTCCATCTAACTTTTTTGTTTTTGAGACAGATTCTTGCTCTGTGCCCAGGCTGGAGTGCAGTGGTGTAATCTCAGCACACTGCAACATCTGCCTCCTGGGTTCAAGGGATTCTCTGGCCTCAGCCTCCTGAGTAGCTGGGATTACAGGTACACGCAACCACGCCTGGCTAATTTTTGTATTTTTTAATAGAGATGTGGTTTCACCATGTTGGCCAGGCTGGTCTTGAATGCCTGATCTCAGGTAGTCCACCTACCTTGGCCTCCCAAAGTGCTGAGATTACAGGCGTGAGCCACTGTGCCCAGCCCATCTAACATTTTTTTTCAGAATTAATTGGAAAAAGACACCTAGTTTTGTTGTTGTTGTTGCTGTTATAATTTATAAGACAGGGTCCTTGTCATTAATTTATCCCCAAACTCTCTTGATGAACCATCCGCAGTATGAGACACATAAATCCAAGAATTTTGTTTTGTTACTGTTCCTTCAGGCAGCGCCCTATTCTCTTACTCTACTTGGAACTAGTCATCTTTAGCCTCTGAAGAGCCATCATGGTGGGACTTTCTTTTGCTTATCCTGGGAATTTCTCTGGCCCCTCTTCAGTGCTATATTACCTGCTTCTGAGATACAAGTACTTTCCTTTCTATTCCATTAAAAGAAACGAATATTTCTGCATTTGCTTTTTTGGGAGAGTAGAGGGAAAAAGGATATGTGGCAGGTAAATTTTGAGAACCTCCTGTGTTTCAAAACATCTTTATTCCTACTTTCACTCTTATGCAGGATTGTTATTTGGGTTAGGTATAGAATTCTAGGTTAAAAACCATTTCCCACAGAGTTTAGAAGGCATTATTCCATTATATTTTAGCTTCGGGGTTGCTGTTGAAGTTCAGCACCGTTCTTATTTCTGATTCTTATTTGTGACCTTTCTACCTAAAATAACATGAATATTTTAGAATATTGTCTTTTATTCTTGGTATTCTGAAATTTCATTTATTTTGTGTGTGCTATAAACTTTAGTTCTGCAAAATTTCTTGCATTATTTCTTTGTATTCGTAGCCCTCCGCCCTTGTTTTCTCTATTCTTTCTAGATACTTCTGTGGGTCAGAATCGCCTAGATTGATGTTCAAATTTTATATTTTTCTCTCTGGCTTTCTATTCTTGATTTTGTTGCTGTTGTTCTACTTTTTTGGAGATTAAAAAAAAAAAAAAACACATCTTCTAAACTCTACTGCTGCATATTGAGTGACTTCTATGTACCAGGTACCATTGTAGGTGATGGAGATGCATCAGTGAACAGCACAGGTATTAAGTCTCTGCCCTCATTGAGCTCACCTTCTGGTATTCAGATTTTCACTTAGTCCTCCAGATCTGTAAGGTATTTTTATTTGTGTTTGTAAAATCTAGTGGCTTTCTATTTCAGTTTATTCAGGTAATGAAGCCTGTCTTTGATCAAAGTAGGAGAGGAGCAGTTGCCTGAGCAGGCGGGGTGGGGAGCTGGAGGGTTTAGGTGCTTTCCTATAGATTTTCAGTCACCTGGTTTTTTTCACTTCACCACAAAACTCCCTACCCTCTGTGGTACTTCGCACCTACGATTCCAGAACCTTGCTAGGTCCTTATTAGTTTCTTTTTGCTGTAAGGCCATAGAACAGAGGATGTCAAAACCCAAGTCTCTTCCGCTTTTCATTTCTAAGATGTTGTGACCATCCCGAGTGTGATAATTGTCTCCTGTCCCGTTCAGTCTTCCTATGGCTTTATAAGAGTTTGAGTTTAACTCTTACTGTAGTGTGGTTTTATAAGAGAATAGGGAGGAATTCATAGTTAATCCCCCATATTGAAGAATACTTACTGGCTTCCAATTAAGGGGGTCCTTTGTCAATGATGGTTAATTGACAGATATCAAAAATTATGGTTTTGACCCACACTTTATTCATAACATAAAGATTTAATTGGAATAATGCGAGCTTTCCATATTTTTGGTTTCAATAATTCTCTAATAAAGCATTTTTCTTTTTTTTATTATACTTTAAGTTTTAGGGTACATGTGCATGATGGGCAGGTTTGTTACATATGTATACATGTGCCATGTTGGTGTGCTGCACCCAGTAACTCGTCATTTTATTTTTCTTTTTGCTTAGACTTAATTTCTCCCTTGGGCAGTCCGCATTTTTGAGTAACAGATATTACTGAGTGTTTTCTTTGAGACTAGAGTTGTTTCTTTTCATTTGAATATAAATTGCCCAAGGGAATGGACTTTGTTTTGTTGAGCACCAGTTCTCTAATTCCTAGAAGGGTACCTGACACAAAATAGATGCTGTTGCTAAAGTAAATGAATGTTTTTTTGAGCCCAATGTAACTATTACTACTGTTTCAGTTTTGGTGTTGAATAATTTAAGATGGGTCGGGGTCCTTGCAACATTTTCCTTATTAGCCACCTCTTATATTCAGGGCATAGACTAGCATCAGTTGAAGTATCAGCTTGCAGTATTGCTTTCCCATTCACAAGCATGTTTACTCTAAAACAGTCACTTTCTACTTATCTTACACACTTTGTTGCAAAGTGATTAATTGAAGTCCTTAGGAGTTATACATCTCCCTCTGTATACACAGAAATTAAAGACACTTCACTAAGAAATTCACAGCCATGAGTAGGAGTGATGAGAGGTAAACAAAGGGTAAAGCTACCCTCTCCTTTTCACCCTCTTCCTCTCTGCATTATGCTTTTGTCTCTCATACTCTTAACTCTTTCATTGACAGATAGGTAAAAGTTCCTTAATGTGAGCCTGGAGCTTCAGATGAGATGCTGCTGCTTATGTAATATTTGAGCAAATATTTTCGAAACTTGGTTCCTCTTTTTTGACCTTGATGTTTTGAAAAGAAAATTCTTCAAAAAGTAAAGATTAATTCCTTTGTAGGAAATGTGGAGAGGGGCATAGCTGTGAGGAGCCAGAATGTTTCTGGTGGGCAGAGCTGGTCTTAAACCCTCTTCTACCTTATTTCCTCTTTACCCTAGGCCGTTAGCCCAGTCTGTTTTCTTGGCTGCAAGTTAGCCACGGTGGTAAGTTAGCCGTCCCTCCTTGTTTATGGAGTAAGCATCCCCAGGAAGCCATCTGAGTAAGGGTTTGTCAAGGTTGGTTTCTGTAGGTCCATCTGGCTGCATTTCTCCCAAGATTGTCTCTAACTGCACAATTGCTAATGAGCTTATTTGTACTGTAACTTCTTGCAGGGCCCAGGCCTATTTCTCTTCTTGCTGCCTACATTTGTGATTTCATAGATTCCTCAAAAAGCTTTCATGATGTATCTGACAACTTTTGACCCTGGACCTAGATAACAAAACTTGCTAAGTTATGAGAGAATGTATGGGACACAGTTAAGCTTTGTCTTGAGATTGTGAGAACAAGCTTATTAGAATTCTGCCCTTCTGCAGAAAGTTTTTTTTTCTGAAGAAAATGAAGGAAAGGGATTTTTATAAGATTTAATTTTGTAGGGAGACAGCACCTGCATTATCACTGTTTTTAAAATATTGCTAAAAAATACGTTGTCTTCACAACCACAATTTTGCAAATGGTTAAATATTTTTTAAAAGATATAATAAGATAGTTATTTTTAGTGCATATAGTATATTCCTACAGATGACTAATATGTATCTAATACCCCTAATTCTTATAGGGAATATTAATTGACTTGGATCTAAGAAACTTTTTTTTTTAAAGACAGGGTCTTACTCTATTGCCTAGGCTGGAGTGCAGTGACGCAACCACGGCTCACTGCAGCCTTGACCTCCCTGGGCTCAGGTGACCCTCCCACCTTAGCTTCCCAAGTAGCTGGGACTGCAGATGTATGCCACCATACCTGGCAAATTTTTTGCAGGGTCAGGATTTTGCCATGTTGCCCAGGCTGATATTGAACTCCTGGGCTCAAGCAATCTGCCCACCTGGCCTCCCTGTGCTGGGATTATAGGCATGAGCCACTGTGCTTGGCCCTAAGAAACTTTTTATTATAAATTGCAAAACTTACTATCCTCTTTTCCAAGCTGATCTTTTAATATTCAGATTTTACAATTTATAAAGTCTTGTGTATCATGTAGTCAGCACAGTCAAGTTACTTAAGTTTTCTCAGCCTCTTTTACATTTGTATTTATTTTGTAGTGTTGTTATAAGGAAATAGATATTTGTAAATTAGATGAGATAATGGCTCAAATATTAGGTGTCTCCCCCTTATATGTGAATAGTGTAAATGGCTTTTTTGGATAATTTACAGAAAGTAATGTTAAAAGTGAAATAACATTGCTGGAAATTAAAATCTCCTGGCATCTCTAAATCTGCAGTCTGTTGGTATAAAGTTAACTAATAAAGCCTAGAATAGAATAATCTTTCTCTTTTTTCCCCCAGAACACTGGCCACTTATTTGAGTATGCAGTCTTCAACAAAGCTCAGTATCTTGGTTGGTTTTCCTCTTTTGAAGATGGTCCTAACGATGTTTGCTTTCTATTTCGAGGCACCCTGTTTTGTGAACTTCTTTTTATTTAGTTGTTAATGTATGTGACTTTTTCCAAATAGATTAAGCATCTGAAGATGGAGGTCTATACCTAAAATTGTTTTTTGAATTGCCAGTGCTTAATAAATTTTTCAGCATGTTTTAAGTACTGAATTTTTTTTGTGTGATTGACTAATTTGAGTATGTTTAAATTTTTTAAGTTGGGCAAAAAAAAAAACAAAACAATTTTCATTGAACATTTGGTGTTGTAAATGGCATCCTACTAGCCAAGCCAAAAAAAAAAAACAAAAACCCTCAAAAAACCAAAACAGAGTGGTGTTCATTAAAGTGTTAGTTCTGAGCGTGGGGGTTTCAGTCTGTTTTGTTCATTGCTGTGACCCTTTCTGTGCCTGGAATAACTCCCATCGCACTGTAGGTGTTGTATGCTAGTTGTTGAAGGAGTGAATATGGTGGAAGTTTTCACCTTAATAGTTATGCCTCATCCCTGCTCCACTGTGATTGAGATGGTTGTCCTTATTTCTAGGGCCTTGCCTAGTAAGTGGGGACATTTAGCAGATTTCACAGGGCTATTTTAGAAAGATTTCTGGAAATATTGGATGTGAAATTACTTCAGAAATGTGGAGTACTACATATACAGAAACATTCCTAATGTACAGATTTTCATTTAGAAATTGAACATAAAATACAGGGAATCCTCTTTGCCTGGCTACTTATACTTCATAGAAAACTAAGTGTGTTTTTGGCAGAGGGTGGGTATCTGTTTTCTCTACCTACAAATACAGGTATTTGTTAGGGATCTTACACTGAAAAATTTTGTAAGTGTAGTTTATTATTCAACATAGAAAATCTACAACAATCTCTTTAGTTGGTTGTTTTTATTTTATTTTTTATTAGATCTGTGTGTATTCCATTTCTAACTCGCCCATCTTTCTAACCCCCCTCTACCCCTTTAGAATAAAAATAACAAAACTGCATAGAACTTTCATGGGTAGGATTAGCTCACTTGATATCCTAAATTGAAATAAGGCTAATCTAGGGTCTTTGGTAAATTCACGCATGAGGCTGGGATGTTAAATAACCAAATAATGATCAAAGGCTTATCTAAGTAATTTGAAACGCCCAAAATGTGGCTCAGTTAATTTGGGGCCAGTTAATAAAAGCTTATCTTGGCTTAAGGTACTTGAATGTCTATAACTATTGAATCAGGACAGGTCACATTTGAGCAGAGTAGGTGTACTTTTCACAAATAGTGGAGGCCTACACAATTATATCCTTGGCTCATGTTTCGCTATGACCATCTGTCATTTCCTCTGGGATTAGATACTAAGGAAATGTGAATAGAAATTACCCCATTCATTGAGTTTTTCTTTTATCTTCATATGGTACCAGTTCCCAATCTTATTTTAGTTGTTATAAAGGAGTGTTAATGTCCAAATTTAGCTGATGAAGAAGAAAGTTGTAGACTAATCCACAGTTCTGCGAGTGACCCTTTCTTTTGTTAAAATCCACACAGATTGAACTGAGACATTAAGCTTATCAAATGTCTGTCTTCTGGAACCTGTCCAGTCTCTCCTTGCTTGGCCCAAGATGTTATCTCCACTAGCTCATATTTCTAGTCTCGAGATGCTCTGTCAAACTTGGAACACAAAATTAAAACTTAGTCTGTGAGGTTCATTTTGGGTAAGCTTTGTAAAGAATTTCTTTTCTCACTGGAAAAACAATCTGGAATCATATTGGAATTTTTGTGCAGAGACAGGGTCTCCTGATACATGCTATCATTCCTGTGTGCTGAAAATGGAAAATGCATTGTCATAGCTGTGGGATTTCATCACATCTTTATGTTGCTTTGCTCTTATGTTCAGAATAGCCCCAGTGCATTTACTTCAGTATTGGCAATGATTTAGTACAGTAACAGATAATAAGGGATTGTGCTTCTATGAAATTTGCAGTTTCAGTCCATTATACCCTACAACCTGATATGTGTTTGCCAAATTTCCTTAAGTAATCCTTTTTTCTTTTGCTAATTTGTACTTGTGTTTCCATGTGTTTTTTTTTCCTTTGGTTTCACTTTGCATTTCTACCATGATTCGAAAAGTGTTTTTCAAAATAAACAATAATGGTTGTTCTGGTGAATTTATTATTGACATGCTATTTTGTTACCTATCTCCACCAAGGAAAAAATAAAACAATAGAGATTCTCCCAAAGTAGTTGTCTACTGCTTTCATACTACTGTGACGGTTGATTAAATTTGACTCTATCATAGTGAAATTCTTTTTTTTTTTTTGGTAGGTGTTGGTACCTGTTTCTTGGGACCTCTACAGAATAGTCAGGTTTAAAGCAAGACTTTCTAGACTCTCTTTTCTGAAACACTGGGGCTTGATCAGATGATTACAATACATGAAATGTGTTGAGTACTTATTAGGTACAGTCAGTGCTAAATACAGGGTGCAGTGGCAAGCAAGATGAGCTCAGTGCCTGGCCTTGGGAACATGCATTCTGATGCAAAAAACAGATGACAAGATAGCAGTTCTTTGTTCTTCCTGTCCCATAAAAGAAGCATAATGATGCGAATGGCAGCCTGACCCAGGGGTATGATCAGAAAATGATTTCCCAAAGACGTGAGGCATCAGCTGGGACCGGAGAGTCAGTGGGAGTTAAGCCAGTAACTCTGTGTGTGTGTGTGTGTGTCCGTGTGTCCATCTGTTCGTCCATCCAACGGGAGGAGGAGGTGAGGAAGAGTGTCCCAGGCCTTTTCTGTCACTAGGATAAGCCATAACTCAAAGAAGAGTCTTTCAGTCTCAGAGACATTGGAGAGGAAGGATAGCAATAGCATGTGGAAAGGCCCTGCAGTGGGACATAATGTGAGGAAACGGCAGGCTGTTGTGGTTGGGGTGTAATGGAGGGAAATGACTCTAAATGAAACTAGAAACTAGACATGTGTGCAGCGTCTTCAGGGCAGTTAAAGATTCTGGATTTTATCTTAAAATGGTTGAAAAACCTTTGAATAATTTTTAGTAAAGGAGTGATGTAACTGAACAGCTAAGCTACAGGATATTACCTGAATTGTCTTAGAAGGCAGAGCCTTTTTTGGAAATCTGGTGAACTGTGGAGAGTGAAATGGTGGTTTTAGAAATTCTTTGGAACATGGGTAAGGTTAGGCTTTAGCAATTTTTAAGGGAGAGTCTTAGATAAACTTGGGAATGTTTTCTTCTTTTTCATTAATATCCCAAATTTCTTATGTGACTAATGTGAGAAATGGTAGATGAAAATGTGGCCAAGTTCTCGTGACACTTAATTTACTTCGGAAACATAAGGGTTTGATTTGTTGATGTTCTCAATTATTTATAATATTTGGGAGCTTTAAACTTCTATATAGTAATAAGTTTAATATATTTGAGTTTTGGAGCTCTTGTCAATTTGTGAGTTTAATTTTTTTCTACTGTCATAGTTGTAAGGTTGTATTTCAAGAAACAGTGTATTTAAATTTACTAGGCTTTTGAAATGCAGATTTGCTGTCATCGGGTGTGTCCTGTACTTGTGTATATGTATTTGCATATGCATGCTCAGTCTGGTCTTCCATTTTTATAGCATTTTCAGATAAATGAAGTTGGATCAGTAAAAGGATACCTGCTGGGAAAACAAGCAATTAAATCATAAGTTTTTTGGTCATTTTTAATTTCTTAGACATATTGAAGGAAGAATGGACAGGGCTAAGAACCAAGCTGCTTCTCTGAAAGTTGGCCAAAGGAATCTACCAAAATGGGATGGAAAATATGAGAGAAGTGAGGGGACAAAAGAAGACAGACCCAGAACCTCTCATGTTTTAACAGGAGTTCTAGAAGCAGGAACGTACTGAACAAAGGAAATAATCAGTAAATAATAGAAGAAAATTTCTTTGACAGATCCTCAGGATGAACTAAGATAGATGAAAAAAAGCCATGCACCTAGATCTCCTGGTTATTGAATTTCAGATTTTCCAGAATTAAAGATAAACTATTCCTTCATTTGAACATTATTGGGAGTTTATCTATAGTATAACAAATTTCAGACATTTTATAAGTAATATTGGATGCTAGATAAAAAATTAATATTGTCTTTAAAGTTTTAAGGAAGAAAGTTATTTTCAAACTATAATCCTGTACCGAAGCAAATAAGTGTAGGAGCAAAAGAAACTTTTGCTTATGCAAAGTCTGGATTTTATCTTAAAATGGTTGAAAGTTTTACCCTTTGTGCACCCTATTTTAACAGTGGGAAACGTACAAGGAAAAAAGATCACATGAGATCTAGAAAACAGTAGCCTCGGAGATGACCTAGGAGAAGCTGAGAAAGATGAAGATGAAATAAGACAGTGATTGACTCTCAGGCTTGTGATGTTCTTCACCTGGTAGTTGTGTTCTAGAGCAGAAAAATTACTTTCTTTACCTTGGTCCTGTCGTATCTAGTGATCACCTTATAGCTATCCCAATCACAGCTATAAAACAGAATGAAAATCCAGTAAACCTTGACAGTGTAAAAATAGAACTGTCAAATCTGGAGATGGATACGGAGAAGGTGCATATATACTAAATAACCTTTCATGGTGGGAAATCAGATACCAACAAGGCGATGATTGGATTTTCTATTGTCTATTTAAAGTTATATACTAATTATGTAATTGTATTGAAATTATGAAAAACAAAGTGGAAAGTGGGCCTGGGTGGGGAAGGAAAAGAGACTCCTGTTTTAGGCCTTTAATGTATATTTTAGTGTTGTTTTGTGTGCAGGTATTTTAATAAAATCATGAATGGGTTAGTTTTAGGGCCAAAGATAGTTTTCCCTTGGTCAGAACTCTGAATTTGTATATTTACTTTCTATCGTCTCTTAAGATTAGTGGGTCAGAGGCCTTTTCTGTTACTGGGATAAGCCATAACTCAAAGAAGAGTCTTTTAGTATCAGAGACACTGGGGAGGAAGGATTATACAAATTCTCTTCTCATCACTCTTCCATTCAATAACTGACAGTGCTTTCTAAAAGCTTGGATTTGCCACCACACTTTACCCAGTCATAGGCGTGAAGACTCTTAGTAAAAATCTAGTCTGTCCTTTCAGAGGGAGGGCCCTCTGTTTTCAGCATGAGATTATTTAGCCTATTTCTTCATGTAATTAGATTCTGTAACATATTGCTTACCTTACCTCATGATTTCAGTGTAGAACCTGTAAGTTATTCTAGCTGGTTGTCAGCTTGCATTGTGGCTGTAGTCTAAATTGGAAGCAGCCGTCTGTAATCTGTTTGACAACATCTCATCGTTGCCAAATTATTAGATCAGTCTTCTTCTTTGTTCTTTTAAGATTAAATTATTAAGTTTGATTTAAACTATAGCAGACACACAGACCTAAAGGGAAAATGGCTTCTATAAAAGGGAATTTTTAAACATGCCTTTGAAGTGTAATTACTACTACATTTTTTTTTTTTAAATCTCCACTATTAATTGCAGATGGGAAGTCAGAAGATGACTTGTGAAGTTGTAGCAGTCACTCTGGTCCTGGATAATACTGGATTTGATCTGGTGTGCTTAAAGCTGTTGTCTTATCTTCAGTTTTGACCAATGATTAAGTGGAAACAAGTTGATAGTCAAGATAACTTCCCCTTTCTGACCTTTATGTTTCAGCTCTACTTTGAGACTGTTGTCCTGGTTAAAGAAGTCCCGCAGAAGGATCCGATAATAGTCATGAGGGAAGAGCATTAGATGTGTGATCGTGCAGTGGGTTAAGATCTGAGAAGTAGATAAGGTCTAATCCTTTAATTATGATTAGATGCCTTATCCATTAAGATTATGTTTCCTATTAAAACCTAAGAAACACTTGACCTTTTAAACTTAGTGTCAAGAATAATTATAAAACTCTGATTTCCGTGGAATAAATGTTATTCAGTAGTACTCCTTATGCAACATGGTGGAATTTGTAACTCTCATTCAACAAATATTTATGAAACATTTACCTGCCAATTGTCAGGAGTATACAACTGCTTTGTTACTTTTGAACTGAATATATTTTAAAGCTTAATCCTAATATCAAAAGTGATTTTCTTCATTAACTCTGCATATTAATTACATATGAACTAATGAACTCTTGCATTGGGTATTTCTTAAAGATGGTATATAAATCATGTTTTAAAAATATTACATTTTGAGTAAAATTGGAAGTTTAAAGATTGAGTATCTGTAGTATCCTGGTATCATAGGTACTCATACATATATATGATGGTTAATGATTTTTAAGTTATTACATTCATTGTCATAGTTTGAATGAATGGGAACTGCAGGAAAAGATACAAACTAACTTTCTGATAAGTTTTTCATAGCTAAATTTGAAGACTGTGAGACTTGGGTATAATGACTAACTTACTTTGATTGAATCGTCCCTAAGACTACCAATTAGGTGCATTTAGTAGTTCTTCAACCCTTCTTATGTAAATACACTGACAAATACATTACAGTTGAATTCTCTGTATTTCATGCATGTCTGGGAAGGAGTACTGTGAACATCTGCTTCAAAGTAGTAGGACTTCCTAGACCCCATATGCTTGTTTATCAGGTCGTCAAGCACTGTGGAGAAACTAATGCTACTCAAGTTTACCCAATAAAAAATATTGGATCAGATAAGCTGCAAGCCATATGTTACTGCTCCAGAAGGGTTGCTCAGGTTGGAGCCAAGTCAGCAGCACTTACCTACTGTGAACTTACAGCCTTTCCAGAAAGCTTGTATCTCAGTCTGTGCAGACAGAGTTTATGAGAGTGAACCAGTAAATTGCTGTCTTCACCTTGGTTTTTGAATTCTTTTGTTAAAGTTTAGTGTAAACATTTGAGCACATCTGTGTGCCAAGGATTTCTATAGGCTCTAAATACGTAAAGATATAATATCACCTAAGAAGTTTATACCTGAGAGGATGGTTTATGGAAATGGAGATTTTCCTGCCCTGGTGGTTTATGGGTTTGGGTCAGAATGCTGTGTTCTCGGTAAAACTCCCTGCCAATTTAAGGGAGAATAAAAAATTCTTAAAGGAGCTGATGTTTCCTTTACCTTCACTGATCTTAGGCCATTCGGTAACTGGTATTTATAAAGGACTAGAAGTTGGATTCCTCTGTTTGGCTTGGAACTGAGGCTTGCATGCCTGTTGTATAAAGAAAGAAAAAAGCAGGATTTGCTTCACTTACTTTTTCCTTATTTTCCAGAACTCTGGTAATGAACATCATTAAGAGTCAAGATAAATAAGTAAGAACTGTTGACCTATCCTGACCAAGCTTTTGAAGGTCAGACAGTTCAGTTTTGCTTCTGAGTTGGTAACAACTGAGCAAAGACTAAGTCGCCATAGTTGTCTAGGTAGATACAGTGTAAGAAGCCGGCCCATTGTTTTGAGAAGACTAGGTTACACTTCTTTAGAATCAGGAAAAGTGAAAAGTAGAAAACTCCTACAGAATCTTTTCTCCTACCTAGCTTCTAGAACATTTTCTTTCAGAATGTAGAATGTTGGCTGGGCGGTGGCTCACACTTGTAATCCCAGCACTTTTGGAGGCTGAGGCGGATGGATCACCTGAGGTCAGGAGTTTGAGACCAGCCTGACCAATATGGTGAAACCCCCTCTCTACTAAAAATACATAAAACAGCCAGGTGTAGTGGCACATGTCTGTAGTCCCAGCTACTCAGGAGGCTGAGACAGGAGAATTGCTTGAACCTGGGAGGTGGAGGTTTCAGTGAGCTGAGATCGTGCCACTGCACTCCAGCCTGGGTGTCAGAGTGAGACTCAGTCTCAAAATAAAATAAAAATAAATAAATAAATAAATAAAAAAGAATGTAGAATGTTTTTGCTACAACTTGCTATAACATTTCATTAAAAAAAGTATTACCATTTGTGAATGCTTGCTGCAGGCTTTCATCCTGTACCCATGAAAAGCCTGTTTATTTCTTCCTACAAACATAACTTTTTTTCATATGAGAACACTGCAACATTTAAGATGTTATGATTTGCTCCAAATTTCAAAGCTAGTATGTGGCAGGATGAAGACTGGAACTCGGGCATCTGAATTCTTACTGAAGTGTCCTTTCAGTCTTTTCTTGGTCTTTATTACAATATGTTATGGAAAACTGTAGTGAAGAAGTATCCTGTCAGCCATCACTGCTGTGTCTCAACACCTGATGCTATGGTTCCAGCCCTGCACGTTTTTCTGAGTGACTATTATAAAACTGGTAATATATGTTAGCCCGGGGTTGACACACTATGGCCATATCTGTTTTTCTGCCTGTTCTGTATGGCCTAAGAGCATTTAAAATGTAAAATGTTAAATGCCTTTTATGTTTTTTAATGGTTGAAAAAAACAAGAATATTTCATAACCCATGAATATTAAATTCAATTCTCAGTGTATATAAATTAAGTGTATCTATGCTTCTATAAAACATTTTCATTTCAGTTTTTTCAATAGCTGCTTTCATACCATAATGTCAGCATTGAGCTGGTGTGACAGAAACCCTATGGCCAGCAAAATATCAGCTGGCCCTTTACAGAAAATATTTGACCACTGTTAGTCTGTGGCTGTGCTCTCATTTTGGACACAGCCTTCCAGACCCCATCTAACTCTTCTTCTCAGGACCTTCCCTGTGGTTTCTAAAATCTCCAGTGGAAGATTATCTTCAGTCACTGGGGTGGTTTTTTTTTTCCTCTTAATTATGGTAAATTCCTCTTAATTATGGTAAATTTTTTATTTTGACAACAATATGACTCTCACACAGCCACTCTCAACCTGAACCTGTAAGACATAAATACCCTTTACAGAATGATAAGGCAGGCACACGCTAACATTTTCAATCTCAGCTCTTGTGTTGAGATTAGAATTGTTCCAGAGATATGCTTTTCAGACTGACCCAGGCAGTCACTTTCATGGTTAACCATTTTCCTTGTTTCCAGTAGTGGCCATCCTAGCCTTTTACTACATGAGGTTCTTTATTCCAGCCTCTGGAATAAATATTCTCAGCATATTTATTGCCTGTAACTTACAGATTAAAAAGCCTTAAACTCACCTTCCTCTCCCTCATTCTCTGTATTCTGTCTTTACCTCCCTGTTTCAGAGGAAGTGAGAACCCTCCCTTTCCAAGGCTGTTCCCCCTAGCTAATCTCTGTCCCATTCCTCTCATCTCCAGGAACTTTTTTCCATGCTTTTCTTTTTCCTTAGACTCTTCTCTTGTCTGTTATTTCTAATCTCCAAGTCTCCTTGATCCTAAAAGCCATCCTCCCTTGAGCCTTATACTCCTCAAGCTACAGCCCCCCTCTTTTTTTAAACAACAACAACAACAAAACAACAACAAAAACATTTATAGCCAAATCTCTCTTCAAAGACTTTTTCCTCACCTTATATCTGCCTGACCTGCTAACACTGATTTTTCCTTATGTCTTCTGCTGAATCTGCTCTCATCAGTGGCCTGGTTGTTCTAGCCAGTAGCCTCTTTTTAGTCCTTATCCTACATGCCCTCCCTGAGTAGTTGCCACTATTAACTATTAGCTCCCATGTTGAAACTCTTCTGCATTAGTCTTTTTTTTTTTTTGGTTGGGACTGGATGCATCTTTGAGCCTCTGGAATTCTCCTCCCCAAATTATCTTTCTCAGTTTCCTTTACTCATTCTCCATCTGTCTACTCTAAATTGTTCCTTCCAGTCCCTTCTCTTTTCCTTGTGTATTTTCTCCTTGGGTGATTTCAATCATGCTTCATCTAACACCTATTTGTTGATGTACCCTGAATCTGTTTGTCTCTCTAGCCCTCTTCCCTGAACTCCAACTCCATACTGGACACAAGCATGTAGGCATTTCCAGTAACCATCTTGAGTTCAACTAATTTTTTTTTTAATCTAAACATGAGTATCTCATGCTCTCCATGTGCGATGGCATCAGTGTCTTAAGAACTAAAGCATTAGCTTCGGTCTCTTTTTTTCCCACTCCCTATATTCATTGGGTTGCCAGATAGCTGCACTTCAGCTCAAATGTGGCTCATTGAACCTATTCTCACCAAATTTTCTGCTTGTGCTTTTGTTCAGGACCTCATGATGTCTCACCAGGTCTATTTACAAGCCTCTTAACTGGTCTCCCAGACATCAGTCTCCATGCCCATTTAGTTCATCATTTCTATGGCTACTTATGTCATCTTCATAAAATGTAATCTGATTATGTCTTTCACCTTCTCACAGTCAAAACACTAACTGTTCATTAAAGTATAAACTGTTCATTAATGTGTATAGATATGAGACAGTGCAAAACCCAAACCTACCAACCTCTCCAGCCCTAACTCTTCTCTTATACCCTATGCTTTAGTCCAAACGTTTGCCATTCCCTGATTGTACACTGCTCTTTCATGTGTTCTTGGTTTCATATGCATTACTTCTATTTAGAATGGTATCATATCCTGTGAGATAAGCTCCTCAACCTTCAAGGGCCACATTAAACTTAATGTCTCCTGAAGTGTTTAGATTCCCCCAGAAAGTTAATCATTGCTTTTACTTTGCTCTGAGTGTACTCCTTATGGTGCTTTTACTGCACTTACAATATGACATCATATTCCACCTTACTTGCCTGTCTTCTGTAGTAGCTGGTCTTTAGAAACTGGAGTGGGAAGGAGAGGAGAACAGTCACCATATCTTATTCATGTCAGCACCTGGGGCATCTGATATGCTATAGCCACAATAGTTAGTGCCTATTCAAATGAATAGAGAAATGAATTTTTAAAAGTGGGTGGGAGTATAGGGGCCAGGCAGACTTCTCGGAATGACTGTGGAGCAGGGAAATGCCACATGCTGTGTGTATCTGTGGAAGATATTTAGGTAACTGCTTGGAGACTGACCTTTGAAGTTTTTTAGTATCTGTTGCCAAATGTTGATTAAAGGAATGACTCTAGATGTTGTAAACGTTGGGCATCTGAATCATTCTGGAGCACTACACACACACCCACACACACACACACATATACACATACATATATACATATACATATATATACACATATATACATATACATATATATATATTTTTTTCTCAGGTACACGGCATTACTTATGAAGATTTAAATAAAAAGTTGGCCAGTTCCACAAGGCAGAACCTGGGTTAGGGAATGAGGGAGAATATAAATTTGGCTAGCTGGGAAGACAGCCATGAGCATGGATACAAAACCATGACTTATTTAGAAAATAGGCTGTGAATTTTAGTGAAACAGACCTAAAGTTTGCTGCTAATGAGTTTTTATTGGGTTTGCTAGGTATTAAGCCTAGCTATTAAGCCCAGCATGCATTAAGTATTTTTCCTAATGCTGTCCCTCCTCCTACCATGGATGGAGCTAGAAGCCATTATCCTCAGCAAACTAACGCAGAACAGAAAACCAAACACTGCATGTTCTCACTTATAAGTGGGAGCTGAACAGTGAGAAGATATGGACACAGGGAGGGCTTGTTTTCTAGAATAACTTCTGCCTGATGAGAAATGTGGCTCTCCTGTTAGAACTCACTAGAAAGAGTGAGGGTCCTGACCTCCAGGGCTTCCTCACCTAACTGAAACCAAGCCAGATGCCGTGTACAGTAGAATGTATCGAAATGCTACCAAACGGCCCAAACAGAATTGCAGCCGTTTTGTAACTCTTTCTTGGATTGCAGGAAATGGCAGCATTTCCAGAATTCGGTGGCAGCTTTGTTGCCTTCTTGCATGGTTTTCCACCGGTTAGTGTGCTTGGCATAATCCTTCCTTTTAACTGTGCGATGCAGTGCTGTAGGAACTAACTCATCTTAGTGTCACCTGTTTAACCACTTTTCCATGTTTGTTACCCCAGTCACACAGATCCTAGGCCTTAGTAATATAACATCATTTAGTTGGAAACCGGAAGATTGATATAAAATTCAGCAACTTAGTAGTTACTAGAAAGTATTAATGAAGTGCTTCTCCAGGTATATTTTTCACCGAGATTTTAGCTGGTTTGAAACATCTAATTAGACTATTATGTGTCTTCAGAGTTAACAGAATTATACTTAAGTTTAAAAAATTGGGCAAAGTAATTTATATGTCAGGATAGGAGTGGTAGAATGGTTTGAGATAAGGAAATATTAGTCAACTTGCCAAAATTTTGACCACATTTAGCATTTATTGAGTGCATACTGTGTTCCAAGTCTTATATTAGGTACTGAAATGACTGTAGTGAGAAGAATGAAAAGGATTGTTGCCAGAATATGTTATAGTGTTGCTTTATTTTTGAACTCTTTAGTTTAATGCACTACCGACCTTTTGAGTCTTCTAAGATATTAAATCAGTTTTTTCTTTTATGTGAATTAAGTAATTGCTTTCTTAAATTTGATTTTGATTATGTGTAGAGACATGTCTATTTAACAACAATTTGAATACTTTGAGTCTAAGCAAAGATGATCAAGCAATGGTAGGAATGTCATTGTTTCTGGGAACTTTTTGTTGGTCACAGAATAATTTTCAGTGTGACAAATTAAAGAAACTTAGGTTGTTCCTTAAACCCATTCTGTCGTCTGCCTTTTTATGATTTTCTTGATTTTATCACGGGAGCATTTATCGAATCTAGTTTTTTTGGTCATACTTTGCTTAATGGTATACAAAAATAACTACACAGATGTGTTATAACTTATCTTTTCAGTCAAGCAACTTTGAAAATGTACAAAAAATAAGAGACCGTTAGTCACCCTCAACTTATATTTTTGAAAAAAAATGAGGTATCAGTCTACAATTTAGTACTTTATCACATTCATTCAGTAGAAGATGATTGTCAGACAAGGGAGGTGAAGTATAAAGTTTAACCAATAAGGGTGCATCCTTAGGGTAGCTTCAGAGACACTGTAGAGGTGGGCATGAGATAAATGACAGTCTGTAAGGGTGGTAGTGAAATGAGCTGAAGTACCTTTAAGGTCTTGCATTTGATGAAAAGCCCCTGCGGTACTTTAATTGATGAGAGTAACACAGTTAAAATACATGACATTCAGAACAGGTTTGCTCAGGGCAGTGTTGGTGGCTGGAAGTTTGTTGAAGAGCAGGTTGCAGTAATCTGGTGAGAGGTGGTGAGTGGTTAAGGAAGTTGCGGTAGAACTACAGAGATTATGCAGAAAGAAGTGTCCTGGGAGGCAGTTTAGCTTAAGGCATTTGGGAAAGAAAACTGTGCCAAGTATCGTACATTGATTCAGTGTGTAGTCCTGTTTGGGGCCAGTTCGATGCTATTCTAGGGATTGGAATAAAATGAAAAAATGCATAGTCTATGCCACTTCCAAGTTTGCGAACCGCCCCCCCCCCCTTTTTTTATAAATAGAACTCTGGAGTAGGAGTATAGGGAAATTTAACTGTTGTTCAAAAATGGATCACCCATTTTTTCTCTTTTGGCAAAATTGCCTCACTCCTTTCTTTAGAGCTATTTCGGTCATCACTGAGCCTCTTGAATCATTTCACATCATTTTATATACCAAAAATCCACTGAGATAATTGGTTGAAAAAGATAAAATTGCTCTTTTTTACAAGTTCTTTTTGTTTGTTTTATTCTTTATAAAAGTGCTTCCTGTTACAATTCTTTAGCTATGTACTGAAGAACAACTAGGATGTGATAGCTTCCACTCCTGTCCTCCTCCTCCTCCACTGTAACCTTGGGCACTAGTGGAGCATTATTGTTTTGTTAGCCTGCCTTTACAATAATTTTCCTCCCCTTTCTGAAAAGCTTCAATGCTAAACAACAATGTAGAGCATTCTTTCTTGCAATAGACGCTAATTGTGTTCCTAGTTGGGATCTTGCTGTCATAGCCACAATAACTGTGTCAATTGTGCAGGGAGGCTGGGTCACAGTGGTTATTGTGCAGAGTGATGAATGCTGCTTACTTGTGATGTGCTGCCGCCCGCATCTGTGGGTGAGAACACGCAGTTACTGTAATTTGCCTGGCAAGTGATCAGACTGGTATAAAATAACATCATCTGTTAGGCAAGATAGCAGTCACAAAGAACTATTGGTCTTTTAAAATATAGAATTTTTAATGAGAAACTTTGAATAATAGAGATTGAACATGTGAGAACAGCTACCTAGTGTGTGTTGCATTATTAACCCCTAGTTTGTAGTGTATTCTGGAGTCAAGTTGACCTACATAGAAGAGAAGGAACTGGAAGTGCATGTCTGTGTTCTGGCTCCGATTGGGAAAAGCTGCTTAACCACTGTAAGTTACGGGTTGGATAAGTGACATATACGACTGGTGTCAATTGGCAACCAGGCTTCACAGTTTCATGAAATGTGTGGATTCTGAAAGTGTTGTCATTGCGAATGTGGTTTCCTTGCCTAGTTCTTCCACATACTTAAGGAAAAGATATTTTTAATGTAATTGTTAGAATGTGTTGGTACGTAATGATTCTGAAGTAAAAGGAATTTTTTTTTTTTTTTTTTTAAGTAAACTTGGTGTTTTGCAAGGATCTGAAGAATCCCAGTTTGGAGCTGATTATTTTCTTGACTGTCCACATCCCACAGTTTTTTTTTTTTCTCTCCATCCCACTGCCCATTTTAAAGCACTTTTCAGCTGTCTGATTGCTCATTAGCATTGCTCATTAAAAGTGGTCTGGGGGCATGCATTTCAAAGCAGTCCTTTTAATACTTGGTTTTTCAAGTTTTGTCAAATTCCCAGTGAATACAAACCAAGTTATTTCTTGAAGTTTAGCCTTGTTTATATTTTTTATATTATTCCTTCTGCTTAGTACATGTCTAAATGATTACTTTTCAGAAAAGTGAATTTTGCTTAGCGCATTGATTTGTATCTCATGAGAGGAGAGTAAATCATGTTTGGTGTGACTTAAGCTTTTATGATTTGGGATTTGTGTGTGTGTGTGTGTGTGACCCCAAGAACATGGAGATACAAGGGGTGGTAATTTTGGAGGGGAGAAGTACATTAATTAGACAAGTGAGGTAATGTAAGAATGAGATCATCTGCCCATGGCTGGTGTAATTCCTTTTTGTTCATTATATTAATTTAAAAAATAATATTAAAGTAATAACATGTATATTCCTACCTTGAAAAGCTAGTTATATAAATAATATGTATGTTTAATGCAGATAATTTGGAAGTTTTTTTTAAAGAAAAAATCCGAGTGATCACCAATAGTCTCTGTACCGGATAGTCATTGTTAAGCTCTGGTATAGACACCCCTCTGTTACTCTGTACACTGTTTTTCCTTTAAACCTTGTTTTGGTCTCAAGGCCATTTGGAAACACAATAGTCATTCTAAGTCCTCCCATAATCCAATACTGAATTTACATAAAATGTTTTTTATCAACATTTTCTGATATTAACTGAGTAGAAAAAATATAGAATTACATATAGTTAATATTAAGAACATTTCCCTTAATTCCTAAAGATTAGGAAGATTATAAACTTGAGTTTTTCTTTTGACACTAATCCTTTTTTATATTGCAAAACACTAAATCCTTATGTGGAAATAGAAAATTGAAAACATTTCTAACGTAGAAACTCAAAATAAATTTTCATTATTATACAGGCATGTTGGCTTTAATCAAAGTAAGATTGATTTACTTTTTAAAAATGGATGTATAAATAGGACCCTAATTCACAAATTGTTTATTTTGTATATATTTTTTATTTAGATAAGTGGAAGTCAGTTAAGATAGTCCTATGAAAAGTTGCTTTGTCTTTTTTTTTTTTTTTATTCTCTTCCCTTTCTCCTTCTGACAAGTCAACATATGCTTCCATATAGCTAACTGCTGCTATTTTCTGCTTCTGTGACAGCTAGCCGATGGCGGAGTCTCTTCTCTTCAACTGCCTCACTGGCTTTTCCTTATAGTCCTGTTGCAAGACTCAGCCCTTATAGCAATGGCATTAATACTCCCAGCTTCTCTAAAACCTCAAATAAAGCAATACTAACACCTGAAAAAACAGGTAATATTTTAACTTCTTGACTAGCTGCTTGCTTTGTAATTCAGTTACTAAACACGGCTTAAATATTCATCTTTCATTTGAAAAGCTTGAGAATAATCTTAAGAGTGGAGAGTTTGTGCTGCACACTTACTTTGGGTACAAAAGGCCTAGCACTAATTTGTACTCTAACACCATTGATCTACTGCTCTCAATTTTATGTAGCAGACAGTCTTCCCTCTTTAGCAAAAGTATATGCATGCAGTTCTGTATTTCCAAATGCTTATGTGCTTTTAAAATTAAATGTCAAACACAATTAAGGTAGTTTTTATTATTCAAGATTGTAAGTCTGTATTTTTTTTAATTTTTTTCTGGTAGCTTTTAAATTTAGCTAAGGCTGTGTAGAAGAAAATAGTCATAGTGGCTTTTTATGAGATGAGGATCTCACCATTTTCTTATTTTTCTCAGCATTGGTATGATTCCATTCCTATAGCCTTCTTCTATTTGTTCTTTGGTTCTTTTATCTGAAGCCATTGATTTTTTTATCCTCATGGGTGGCTATAAGTCTCCCGTGACTACTCTCTGGTCTATATTATGTGGGTGTTGTATATATTTCTGCATATGTATGTGTGCCTTTTAGATGTGATATTCTTACCCATTTGTAGCACTGCTGTTTGTACTCATTAAGAAATGGACCAGATTAAAATTTAATTTAAAAATATATTATCAGTTACTGTCAGACAAGTGTGTCTTATTATTAAAGTATACATGAATATATATTCTTATAATATCATGCCTTTAGATATATACATATCTAATAGGATGTAGATTTTAGCAGTAGTGAATTTTTTATTGTGATAAAAAATATAATGTGAAATCTACCCTCTTAACAATTTAAGTATATAGTACATGGTGACTTTTTAAATTGTGAAAATTCAATTTGAAAACAATGAACAAGTGGTTTTGTATATATGAATTGTGTACACATGATGTGCACGTTGACCATTAAATGGTGACATGTTGGTGATTTTTGTAACATGAAAACATGAGACAAATTGCTGACTGTTTATATATGAATTGTGAAGCATGTATAGATATCAGTCCTGCAGATGGAAGAACACACTTTTCCTTTGTGTTTCAGGTTACACTTCCAGGGGCTCCCCACTCAGTCCCCAGTCATCTATCGACAGTGAGCTGAGTACTTCAGAATTGGAGGATGATTCTATCTCCATGGGATATAAATTACAGGACCTCACTGATGTTCAGATCATGGCTCGTCTGCAAGAAGAAAGTATGTGTTCTTTCTAAACTAGCAAAATGAGGCTTCCACTTGGAATATACAGGCAGAGGGGGAGGTTCAGGCATTTCTCTCCAGGTAATGGGCAAATAATTAGATTCTTTCTCTCATACTGTCCTACTTTTTAGGTGGAGCCAGTTATATGCTTCTCACACTATCATGAGGTGGTAGGACTTAGTCTGATGAAAACACATTGATACATGGACATTGCTGGTATTGTCACTGTGGAAACAGATGGACAGTTTCCTAAAAAACTAAAGGTGCAACTTCCATGTGGCCCAGCAAACTGCACTCTTGGATATTTATCCCAGAATAGTGGAAATTCGTGTTTACACAAAAAC
This sequence comes from Homo sapiens, assembly GCF_000001405.40. Classification (NCBI taxonomy): domain Eukaryota; kingdom Metazoa; phylum Chordata; class Mammalia; order Primates; family Hominidae; genus Homo; species Homo sapiens. Next base: position 77,744,780 of record NC_000013.11, read on the forward strand.
TTGCACGTGAATGTTCTGAGCACCTTTATAGCCCAAAACTGGAATTAGCTTAGAAGGCCTTCAGTGGGTAAATGATTAAACCAATCATGTTACATCTATACCATGGAGTATAACTCATCAATAAAGAGGAACAAACTACTGATATACACAACATCTTGCTTGAAGCTCCAGGGAATCATGGTGAATAAAAAATTTGATCATAAGAGAGTGCATACTGTATAATTCCACACATATAACATTTTGAGATGACAAAATGTTAGGAACAGAGGACAGACTAGTGGTTGGTGGAGTTAGGTATAGGGCTTAGGGTCTCAAGAGGGTCTCGAAGCTGGATGTAGTTATAAAAGGGCAACACAGGATTTTTGCAGTGTTGGTACTATTCATTGGTGGATCTTTGAACCTGTAGGTAATGAAATTGCATACAGCTTAATACTCTCTCTATCTCTTTCTGACACAGACACACACACACCCCCACACACCTGCGATAATCTGAATAAAATGAGTGGATTATATCACTGCCAATACCCTGGCTGTCATATTATTATAATTTTGCACAATGTTACCACTGGGGGAAACTGGGCAAAGTGTACAGTTTTGTTTTTTTTTAAGCACTGCATGTGAGTCTACAGTTATCTTAAAATTTCAGTTAAAATGCATTGACATACTTCTCCAGGTAAATAATTGTGAAAGAGTAGATAAGTAGAAATAGGATAGTTTTTCACTGGTTCTGCGATAAAGTTACAAAAAATTATCTGGGAGTGAACTAGTTGAAGGGCATTAATGGTATCAAAAGGCACAGAACTGGAGTGTTTGTTTTGGAGTTATCTTTTCCACCAACATAAGTAGAAATAATCAAGTATCATTTAAGCATAATAATTTCCTGTTTTCAGAATTAGTCAAGGCTTCTATGAGAAACATGGTAATGCTTATGCAGGATTTAATAGATACATTTTTAAGGGGAAAAGTGGTTATTTTATATAATTATTTAGTAAAAGCAAATTTAAATACTCTTTCTAAAAATATATATGGCTAAAAGATTGTATGTCAGTTTCAGAAGTTAAGTAGTCAGGGATAGACCACTTTTTTTAAAAATTGTAGTACTGGCAATGGGTTAAATAATGAGAACTTTGTAGTTTGACTATTTTTAGATGATTACCTTATAGGATGACCTAAAACTATTAGAAGTATTGAGGTGTCAGTGTGCTTTGAAAGAGATAATATTAGTAACATAAAAGAACAATAGAGAGATGACCTTGTGGGAAAATATTTGTACCTCGGCTTTTAAACTTTCCCTTTGACTTTAAAAGTTGGGGGTGGGGAGCAGAATGACTTCCTACTTGGGCAGAGATTTGAAGATTTTAGTTGTTTTAACTCATAGCAAACTATTCATAATGAGATGAATATTTCTTCCTAAGTTCCCCTTCTAAAATATCTCTTGATTTGAAAAGGGGAAATTGATAGATATTAACGAATGAGCTGTGGCAGGTATATATAATCCTCACTGGAATTGGGGCAATCTTTTTGCAAAACAGAATTGTCCAATATTAGATATCTGTTTCATAGGTAAATGTGATTATTGTCTTGGTAAACTTGTCAATTTAGTAAACTTGAGAACAAGATAATAAGTCTCTGTGAGTAATTTATTTGGCACAATTTTTCATCTAATACTTGGTTAATTATAACTAAATGTTAGCTAGATCAAAATACATTAGAGTACTATTTGTTATTTTATAGGTCTCAGGCAAGATTATGCTTCTACTTCAGCATCTGTATCAAGACATAGTTCCAGTGTGTCATTGAGTTCAGGAAAAAAAGGGACATGTAGTGATCAAGAATATGACCAATACAGTCTGGAGGATGAAGAGGAATTTGATCATTTGCCACCACCTCAGCCTCGTCTTCCAAGATGTTCCCCTTTCCAAAGAGGAATTCCCCATTCACAGACTTTCTCCAGCATTCGGGAGTGTAGGAGGAGCCCCAGTTCCCAGTATTTTCCTTCAAATAATTACCAGCAGCAACAGTATTATTCACCTCAAGCCCAAACTCCAGATCAGCAACCAAATAGGACCAATGGAGGTAGGTTGTATGCTTTTTTGGTATTTGATATGCTTTAATTTTTTTATATGTGGTCAAGAAATGGTTTTTGTGTTTTTGTTTTTGTTTTTGAGACAGAATCTGTCTCTGTCTCCTAGGTTGGAGTGCAGTGGCACGATCTCAGCTCACTGCAACCTCCACCTCCTAGGTTCAAACGATTCTCCTGCCTCAGCCTTCCAAGTAGCCGGGGTACAGGCATGTGTCATTATGCCTGGCTAATTTATTTTTTATTTTTTATTTTTTATTTTTAGTAGAGATGGGGTTTCACCCTGTTGACCAGGCTGGTCTTGAACCACTAACCTCAGGTAATCTGCCCGCCTTAGCCTCCCAAAGTGCTGGGATGACAGCCACCATACCCGGCCAAGAAATGGTTTTAAGAGAAATATAGATAATTGGTCAATGTTTCTCAGATTAAAAATCATCCTCCAGACCTTCTCAGTTTGGTCTAAATTTGCGTCTCTAATTGACTGGCTTCTGATTACGTGTCCCAGATTTATAAACGCACAGCCTCAAGAAAACCTTCATGACATAGCTGGCTCGGAATGAGTTATAAATGTGCGGCATCTCTGCATTGTTGCTGGTGCCTGTGGCAGAGGCAGGGTTGTACAAGCTGAGAAGTTTGTGGTCAAGCCCATGGAGGCAAAGTCTGTGAGTTGTCATTCCTTACCTTGTCCACAGCCTTCAGTCTCTTACTGTCTGTTCCTAGCACAGAGTGAGGTTGTAAGCATGAATGATGATGCTTGCAGAGGATGCTGCTCTTACACAGCCAGATCTAGGCAAGTTTGGGATGTGTCTTTCCCTCTGATCTCCTGACATCTAGAATTAAGATCTGTGTAGCAGCAGGAACATGGAGGTTGCTTTCCATTAGCATTTGACAGGGTAATGGGAAATTGATCTGTCTTGTCAACATGGTGGGTTGCTGTCTGTGTCATTCGTTTATTCTATCTCTTCATCATTTATCTTTCTTCCACACTTGCAGAAGTTGGACTCTGACTTCTAAGAACTATGGGAGAAGCAATCATGTAATATTCTAAGCCTGTTGTGTTTTTGTACTAATGATCACCTGAACCCTCACACATAAATTCTATATATTATGGAGAAACAAACCAATAAAAAAATTTATAATTATACAATTACAGTTCTTAATTATTATATAGCACTATTTCTCAAAGCTGGGTCCAGATGTGATCAAATGGTCTTTAAAAATATTTATAGGCCAAATATAAATTTTGTATTAGTGATCAGCCATAACCCTGTATTTAGTTTTTACCCTTTCTTCCTTTATACTGGTATCATTCATGCTGATGCTAATTAAGAGATCATTTGGAAATATTTAAAATTTTGTATTTGTAATTTCTCTTACTACCTTGAGATTTCAAGTTTAAAGGAGTGGTGGCTAAAAAATGTCATCATGACTAACATATTAAAGCTCATAGATCAGAAAGACAATGTATTCCATGTGCTTAGTGGAAGTCATAACATCTTATTAAAATTGAGAGGGCACCTAGAGTTATTTCTCTAAAGCTTTTTTTTTTTTTTTTTTTTTTTTTTACTTAAAGTGTTTTAGAACATCGTAGTCAAGTTGCCAAGCAGATGCTAGCTCTGCATCTTGATTGATATTGTCAATGGGATCATTTTTCTCCGCTTAGCTGTTTGTTGCACCTCAGAAAAGTGGTATTCACTTCCATCAAACACCGTTTGAAAAGGATTAGGTTTCTGTGAATCCTGTGCTGGGATACTCTTCACAGGAAAGTGGAGACATATCACAGTTTAGGTCCCTTTATGGTAGTTTTATTTTGCCTAAAATGTCTAGTTTTCACAATACAAGAAAAATGGAATACAAAGGCAATCTTCTGGATATGACTTCTGACTAATTAGCTTAATGGTTGAGAGCAGAGGCTCTGAAGTCCAGTAGATCCTGTGTTTCTCAACTGTCTAAGGTTCGGTTTCCCTAACTAAAATGTGGACAAGATGATATCTGTCTCTTAGGAAACTTAGGTATAATTTCACACCAAACCATCTGGTACACATTTTCTCCACCTAAATATATTATAAGGAATAAATGAAATAATGAATGTTACATTGCATGTAGCCTGGAGTGGATGTGCTAAATAAAGGTTGTCTTCTCCCCTTTTGTTTTTAAACTTTTATTAACATATGATTCAGATGTCCTAGCCTGCATTTGTTACTATAGAATATTGAGCAAAAAACTGAAATAAGAATGGTAACTTTGAAGCTAATCTATTAAATATTTTTCTAAATTATCAAAATAATATAGATAGAAAATAATTGTAAACTGTTGATTCATTTTAAAATAATTGAGAATAAACTAGAAATGTATATTAATATTTACTGCTTTTGTAGTTCCTACACTGCCTAGATTTAAAGAGATGGTTCATAAAACTTTCTGGGATATTTCTGAGATTCATAGAATTAAAAGAAGCATAACTGGAATAACTTGCTAAATATCAAAATGACTCAACTTGTAGAATCTTTACCAACTTTTTTATAATTCTACGGTATGGCAGGGGTTACTGGAGGCATGATGTAGTCCTTATTATCATGAGGACCTCCCCTGGAGCCTGTGTTGCCTGGATGCCTAGATCTAGCTGTTTGGTGGACAATGAGTGTCTCCTTTAGTCCTAAAGATTCCTGAGTCTTTGTTCATAGAGTGATGAGTCTTGCTGCCTCTTTAATGTGAGCAAGCTCATTTGAATTCTTTACTTGGTCTATTCTTCCAGTTTCCTGCTGCATCTCAGCCCTTGAAGATTAAACTGCTGATTTCTTGTGAAGATAGAACTAGAACATTACTTTTGGTTCCCTGAACTTTAAAGAATATGTGGTTATTAAAACGTTCCACATTGTTTGACAGGAAATGTACCTCATTTCCAGATGGTCTGACACAAGTTGGAGATCACAGCTTTGTTCCAAGGGGAATAGTGTCCTAAATATTTACACTTGGAAGACCTTATTTTTAAGAGCATATTTCAGGATTAAAGCTTTGTGAAACTGACTTGTTGCTTAAATATGAGTAAAGATTGGTTTTAAAGACTAACACAGATTAGAGGCATAGCCAAATGTAACGTATGGACCTTGATTGGATCGTGGTTTAGAGGAAAAAGCTTGTGAAAGATATTCTTGGGATGTCTGAAAAATTTTGTATGCAGATTATCATATGATATTGTTAATTTGTTTACATGTGATTACAATATTGTGATTCCATAGAATTTTCTCAGGAGATCAATATGCATTTAAAGTGTCAAGATGTCTGAAGTTTTATCTTGTTTAGCAAAGCAAACAAAAGTACATGTGGAGATGAATTAAATATGGCAAAATGGAAACAACCAGTATAGCCAGGTGGAAAAACAGGTGTTTATGATACTATTTTTTAACATTTCTATATGTATGAAAACTATTATAGTAAATAGTTGGAGAGAGATTTTAAAAAGAAATATAGAAGCTCAATTAATTTTCTCAATAGCATATAATTATGTTCCTGTGCCTCCCTGCTGCTTAAAAATATATGTATTGGAAATATGTATAGTGAAAATAGTCTAGTACTGATAGAGGCTGTCTTTTTTACACCAGTTTTTGTAATAGTCAAAAGATCTAGATATGGCCACTAAGATTATGTAGAGATGAATCCTTCTAATTCCTCCCTTCTTACTACACACTGTCTGCCAAATCATACACATAATATTTGCTGATATATAAAGTACCTGCTCTGTGAGGCTGGGAACTTTAATAGGAATTTGGGAATACGAGACGTATGATTGTTAAAAATAGGCATCAAGAAGATAATGAGGAAAATTGCCAAGGAATCTAACAGTCAGTGGCAATATTTGAGCATCCTTACTCTAGAACTACACACAGAAAGTAATGTGTGAGAGGTAGATACTTCCAGCTGGGAAGTCCATAGAAAAGCTTCTCTATGGTGGGGATAATTGTGCCAATTCTTAAAGTATTAGTAAGACCCACATGAGTAAAATATTCTTTTGTGCTTTCTACCATAGCACTCTCTACAATTTTTTATGCTCTCTTATTATACATATTATCTAAGTATACTTATTGTGCTTGTTTAATCTTCTGCCTTTTCCACCCCAAGGGAGCAAAAATTGCTGGACATGGCAACATTTAATAGGTGTTAGTAATGTCAAAGGAGTAGTGTATGAAAGGGGAATAAGAAGAGCTGAGTTTGATTTTGACTTGAATGCCTTTTGGATTAGCATTCAAGTATATCATTATTTTCTGGTTTTGCTTGAAAGAAAATGACCACAAGATTGAATGCTCTGATATGTGCACTTTAGTGTTTTGCGGTATATATCAATAAAGATAAAAATATCTTGTAAGTTGGAGGGGTGAAAAAAATTTTAGATATTACAATGATTTATGATCTTCCATGGTTTACCCCTATCAAAATGTTAATCTTTAATATTTATTTTATTTGGGAAAAAATTTAATTTTAAGTTTAATTAAATTTATTTTAGATTTTCTCTTTAGGATCAACAATGGGTGGGGAAGGATTGAGAAGCACTGGTCTAGACTATAAACCTAGACCATAAATCTTGACTATAAACTCAATGAGACTCTGGACTGTATCTGCCTAATACACTGTGGTATCCCCAACAGCTCACAGAGTGTCTGGTATTTAGTGTAAACACAATAGATGTTTGTTCCCTTGTTCATTTGTTCCTTCTCCAAAGTGAGGTTGGGTGTCCACATGGAGGGACCAGCCTGCTCACAGGTATGAGAGAGTTCACCCCTGTGGTCGGGGAGCAGGCTGAGAGGCCAGGCTGGAGAAGTATAAAGAGCCTGGGCCTTGAAGCCCTCATCTGGGCTGTGCTCAGGAGCTTGGCCTTTCAGAAGAGGGAGCAGGGGAGGAATTGAGGAGTTGGAGGGATTTCAGCAAGTGGGTGACGCATGCTGTGCTCTAGGAAGAGTGGAATCGAGTACTTGAATTAGTTTTGTCCTTGAATTAGTTATGGCTTAGTACTCGTATATATGCTTTTTTTTTCAGTTTAAATGACCTGACATAGGTACTTTAGTTTTTGGGGGATGTGTATTGATCAAGGAAAAAGTGTCTCATAGAGTTGTGGTCTTGTGGCTGGCTTATTTCACATGTGTTATTTCACACATCTCAACATTGAGATCTGTATGTGACTCTCTGCTGCCTCTTGGTGGCAGAAGATGAACTTAGCAAGGCAAAAAAATTGAAGCATTCTCTTGGTCTTTTTTATCTGCAAACATTTGGTGGCGTACTCATGAAAGTTAAAACTTTCCAGAGATTAATGTGGTCATGTTAATGTGATGAGTGGATATTTCAAGACATCTGAAGTTTGAATTTTATTAATTTGTTCCATTTTGATATGGTAGCAAAAGATTCAGTAAATGTTGGTTTTGATTCTTCTAGGGTTCTTTTTTTTTTTTTTTTTTAAGAAGCATGTAACTTAATTTCTAGGGTTGTTTTGGTAAATTTAATGGCTATAAGATTATTTTCTAACTTTTTAAATATAGTTTTAGCCACTTATTGAATAGGAACAGATAGCTAACTGCTTAGCTAGTCCCTAAGTCTTTTTATAGAAGTTTCGTTCTCCTTTAACACATTGTATTAGTTAGGGTTCTCTAGAGGGACAGAACTAACAGGATAAATGTATATATGAAGGGGCATTGATTAAGGAGTATTGACTCACACGATCACAAGGTGAGGTCCCATGATAGGCTGTCTGCAAGCTGAGGAGCAAGGAAGACAGTCGGAGTCCCAAATCCTCAAAAGTAGGGAAGCCGCCAGTGCAGCCTTCAGTCTGTGGCCAAAGGCCTGAGAGATCCTGGCAAACCACTGATGTAAGTCCAAGAGTCCACAAGCTGAAGAACTTGGAGTCTGATGCTCGAGGGTAGGAAGCATCCAGCACAGGAGAAAGGTGAAGTCTGCTCCTTCTGCATTCTTCTGCGCTTTTATCCTAGCCATGCTGGCAGCTGATTAGATGGTGCCTATCCAGATGGAGGGTGGGTCTACCCCTCCCAGTCCACTGACTCAAATGTTAATCTCCTTTGGCAACACCCTCACAGACACACCCAGGAGCAATGCTTTACATCCTTCAATCCAATCAAGTTGGCACTCAATATTAACCATCACACATGCTTATTTGGTGGGAACCCTTCTGGTTGGGAAGGGTGTTTTCCTGTACAATAGGTTAGAAAGCTTGATCATCAACATGTAATAATTTGTATTTATTATTGAGCACAATATGACTTTTGTTATTTGCTTTTGAAAGCTAGTACTTTGGTTGCATAACATCTGTCATTTTTAACTTAGTAAAATTCTTTTCCAGATAAGCTCCGAAGAAGTATGCCTAACCTAGCCCGGATGCCAAGTACAACTGCCATTAGTAGCAACATTAGTTCTCCGGTCACCGTGCGAAATAGTCAGAGTTTTGACTCAAGCTTGCATGGAGCTGGAAATGGAATTTCAAGAATACAATCTTGTAGTGAGTATAATTATTTGATATAATTATATATTGTATAATTGTATAATTTTTTATAATTTTTAATTGTAAGGAAAATGTCTGTTTTATTTCTTTGTATTTACTTGAAAGAACACTAAACTTTTTTCCTTGCCGTGTAACTTATTTTTTTATTTCACCATTAGAGTTGAATAGTATTTTTACTATTCAAATAGTATATTTACTATTCAACTTACCAGTGCCTGTGGTATAAATTACTTACCAGTGCCTGTGGTATCAATTAATAATAGTAAATTGTTATTTGTATAATAATAGTAAATTATTTGTAGTCCTTTATATCCTAGGATAGTAGAAGTACTACATGGTGATTGATTTATCCACTCATCATACAAAAATTGTTTTCCTTGCAGATCCTCCTCCTTCTAGCTGTCTACCTGAATAAGCACACTTAATTCTGTTTAGCCGTTCCTTTTGTCTTGTTTTTCACCTATGCATACTTTTGTCTTTTTCCCCCTAAATGAAGTTATATTTTAGAGTGTCTAAAGTAGTTTTTGTCCACTCTATTTAGCTTACCCCACATTCTGTTACTTACTTTCTATGTTTTACCCAGCAGTGAGTGACACAGTTAGCATTAGGCCTAGTGCTGTGTATCTTCACTTTATGTGGGGATGTGCTGCTTCGGCATCCCCCTATTCCTACTCATGCTGTCTATATGGGTTGTTGCAGTTAAGTCTTACACTGACTTCCAGGAGGAAGGCACAAGGTTATATTACCAGTATTCATAAAAATGCCCAAACTTGGGAGGCTGAGCATGTTCTGAGTGTACTGGCCAAGAGTCGTCAACCGGATGTTTTAAGTCTGCATCCAAAATGGTTTGTAGCTTTTCTCCCTCAAACTTAGTTTTAGGTGTCAGGTTGTATCTCCCTAACATGCAGCGATCTTTCATTTCTTTATGTTTTAGTTCCTAACAACCAAGTGACATCATTTACTCTGTACAAGGAACTGTGCTAACTAGTTTATATTCATTATCTTATTTAGTTCTACCAACAACTCTATGAATTAGTTTCTACTGCCATTCTTATTTTGTGGAAGAGGCAACAGTTCTGATAGGTTAAGGAACAGTTTGTCTAAGGCCATACAGTTGGAAGAGCAGAGAGGCAGACCTAGGTCTGGTTACTCCCAGAGCTTTTAACTGCTATCATATTCTAGCTCCACGTGCTGTTCTTCTCTGCCTAGCATTCTTCCTTTTCCTTCTTCGTTCAGTTTACTCCTATTTACTTTTATAACACAGTCCAAATACCATGCCTTTGGAAGTCTTCATTGCTTACTTAATCACCCTAACACACTTTCTCAAATACCCCCCAAACAATACTAGAGTGGATTAGATTTTCGGTGCTTACCTCTGTTATTCAATGTACCATGTTTTACTATTAATATGTTTGTCTTCCTTACTAGATTGTAAGCTCCCTCTGGGCTTGGGCCATCATTTATTTGATTTTCTGTTCCCAGTGCCTGACGTATTGCCAGAACATAAGGAACTCTCAGTGAATGCTTGAATGAATGCCACAGGATTCTATGTTAAGGCTTGACCTATTAAATATTTAGAACCAATGACTTGTATAAGGACACATAAACAACCTATGAAATTTGCCAATAGTAGAAACCGAGAGGACTAACAACTCATTTTATGTCAGGAGGTTAGGAGAATGGGCCAAATGTATCATGAAGAAATTTAGCTGATAGAAATATACAATTCTATGTCTGAATTACAAAAATCAGTAACATACCAGCCTAGGCAATATGATGAAACCCCGTCTCTACAAAAAATACAAAAATTAGCCAGGCATAGTGGCACATGTCAGTAGTCCTAGCTACTTGGAAGGCCAAGGTAGGAGGATCACTTGAGCCTGGGAGGTTGAGTCTGCAGTGAGCCAAGATTGCACCACTGCACTCCAGCCTGGGCAATAGATAGAATGAGACCCTGTCTTGAAAAAAGAAAAAAAAAAATCAATAGTGTAAGTGTGGGAGGGGAGAAATACAGTTTGGAGAATAGCAAATATAGTAACAATTAGGAATTTTTGTTGACTCCAACTCAATGTGTATTAGTAGCAGATTTGAGTGCCAGAAAAATGTATGTAGCCCAAAATAGAATGTACACTGCAAAGAATGTTCAGCCTTGATTGAAGTGCCCCCAAAATGACGGGAAAATGTCAAAAGGATACAGGAACCAAGTTGAAGGAACCTCCTAATGGCCAAATTTGGGGCAGTTTGAGCCACAGAGTAAATAATTATAGTAATGGATTATAACTGATGGAATAAAATAAATATGCATGGGTTCATACTTAATTGGATAAATAGAGGGGAACATCCTCTTTGTAGTAGATTCCAATTCATGCGTGTAAAAGCAATGAGGAAAATATAAAAATCATCATTTCTAAGTCAAGCATAATACTGAGAGAAAGCCCCCAAGAAGAATATTAAAGTGTAGGAGAAGGAGGACTCTCATAACTTTTGTTTCAAATCTTAAGATTATGTTCTCATTTACTTTCATTTCTGAGCATTCTAAGCCACTGTTCTTTATGCATTCTAAGTTCCTATCATGACAATTTCTGGTTCTGGGCCATTTTGCTTTCTGGAAAGAACAGAGGTAGGATAGAGAGTTGGAAAGGCTGCAAGTATAGAAGGAGGAACACAGTTGTAGTCAAAGACCTGGTTTTGGGTCTTTTCTTAATCATAAATTCTTTGGAAAGTTAAGTATTCTTTCTCAGTCTTGTTTTCTCAGTTGTAAAATTAGGATTATGCCTATTAATTCTAACTAGTTTCTCTTATGTGTTTTTTTTTAAATCAAGGGTGGTTATATATGTTACATGTAGGAGAGATAGTAGGACTCTATTCCTGAATAAACTGTTCTGTAATTTCATTTCAAATGAAATTGGTTGGCATTTCATTGACTCTGCAGATCAATTTTTGGAAGATCTTAACAATATTAAGTCTTTGCATCCATTAATATGTAATAGTCCTCCATTGACTCAGGTCTTTAATATCAGTGAAGTTTTGTAGCTTTCTATATAGAGGTTTTATGTTTCTATAGTTAAATTAATTTCTAGGTATTGTGATTTTTAATAAGTAGTATTTTTATAAATAGTATTTCCTCAGGTTTCTTTCAGTTTCTACTAGTTTGCTGGTATTTTGAATATAATTGATTTTTGTGTTTTGATATTGAATCCAGCAACTTTGCTAAATTAATATCTCCTAATAGTTACCCAACATAATGAGTGCATATGATCACCAAAACATGTTCAAGGAGGTTCATAAAACCCCAAATTAGAAATAACCTAGCTTTCTGTCATCAGGGGAATAATCACATTTATACAATGGAATACTGCTTAGTAATACAGCAACACAGGTGAATCTCACAGACAAAGTGTCGAGTGAAAGAAGCCAGATTAAAAGGTTAACATACTAATAAGTCTATTCCTAGGAAGCTCAAAATAGGGAAAAACAGTCTGTTGTGATAAAAGTGGGAATAACACTTACCTTTGGGGGAGTTTTGACTAGGAAGAGGCATGAGAGAGCATTGTAAGGTGCTGGTGATGCTTTTTATCTTGATATGATTAGTGGTTACATGAACATATGCACTTTGAAAATTCACTGAGCTGTAGACTTAAGATGTATGTATTTTATGTATATTATGCTTCAGAAGAAATTGAGCCAAATTCATGTGTTGAAGGTTTTTAAAAAATTAACACTTTTTTGGAGCAGTTTTCAGTTTATAGAAAAATTGAACAGGAAGTACAAAGAATTCCCATGTAATCCCTCACCCTCTGTATCTTCCTAGTTTCCCCTATTATTAACATCTTGTGTTAGTGCAGTAGACTTGTTACAGTTGCTGAACTAGTATATTAAATATTTGCATGGTTAAAAACTAGCAAATTAAGGCATTACAGAATTGATTAGAAAGAATCTTAGAGATGATTCGTCAACCAAGAGGACTTTGCTGTGTCACAAAGCTAAATGGGAACACACCTAAGGGAGGATCTTACATAGACTTTATTTTTATAAAGCTTTTTGACTACTATACACATGTATCAACATTTCTTTTTTTTTTTCTTATTTCAATAGTTTTTGGGGTATAGCTGGTTTTTGGTTACATGGATAAGTTATTTAGTGGTGATTTCTGAGATTTTGGTGCACCTGTTACCGAAGCAGTGTACACTGTACCCAATATGTAGTTTTTATCCCTCACCACCCTCCCAGACTTCCCCACAAGTCCCCAGAGTCCATTATCTCATTCTTATGCCTTTACATCCTCATAGCTAAGCTCCCACTTACATGAGAGAACATACGATATTTACTTTTCCACTCCTGAGTTATTTCACTTAGAATAATGGCCTCTGGTTCCATCAAAGTTGCTGCAAAATATTAATTTGTTTCTTTTTATGGGTGAGTAGTATTCCTTGGTGTATATATACCACAGTTCTTTATCCACCCGTTGGTTGATGGGCACTTAGGTTGGTTCTATATCTAAGCCATTGCAAATGCTGTTGCTATAAACATGCGTATGAATGTGTCTTTTTTTCAAATAATGACATCTTTTCCTTTGGGTAGATACCCAGTAGTGGGATTGCTGGATCAAATGGTAATTCTACTTTTAGTTCTTTAAGGAATCTTCATACTGTTTTCCATAGTGGGTCTACTAATTTACACTCCCACCAGCAGTGTAAAAGTGTTCCCTTTTTGCCACATCCACACCGAATCTATTGTTTTTGACTTTTTAATTATGGCCATTCTTGCAGGGTAAGGTGGTATCTCATTGTGGTTTTAATTTGCATTTCCCTAATGATTAGTGATGTTGAACATTTTTTCATTTGTCTGTTGGCTGTGTATCTTTTTTTGAGAAATGTCAATTCATGCTCTTTGCCCACTTTTTGATGGGATTAGTTGTTTTTTTTCTTGTTGATTTATTTGAGTTCCTTGTAGATTCTAGCTATTAGTCCTTTATCAGATGCATAGTTTGCAGATATTTTTTTCTACTCTGAGTTATCTGTTTACTCACTGATTATTTATTTTGGTGTGCAGAAGCTTTGTAGTTTAATTAGGTCCCATTTATTTATTTTTGTTTGAGTTGCCTTTGCTTTTGGGATTTTAGTCATGATTTCTTTGTCTAAGCCAATGTCCAGAATAATTTTTCCAATATTATCTTCTAGAATTTTTATGGCTTCAGGTCTTATATTTAAGTCTTTGATCCATTTTGAGTTGATTTTTGTATAAGGTGAGAGGTAGGTATTCAGTTTCATTCTTCTACATGTGGCTTGCCAGTTTTCCCAGCACCATTTACTGAATAGGGTGTCCTTTCCCCAATTTATGTTTTTGTATGCTTTATTGAAGATCAGTTGGCTGTAAGTATTAGGGTTTATTTCTGGGTTCTCTATTCTGTTCAATTGGTCGATATGCCTATTTTTATAGCAGTACCATGCTGTTTTGGTAACTATAGCCTTGTAGTATAATTTGAAGTCAGTTAATGTGGTACCTCTAGACTTGTTCTTTTTGCTTAGTCTTGCTTTGGCTATGTGGGCCGTTTTTTGGTTCCATATGAATTTTAGGATTGTTTGGATTGTTTTTTCTAGTTCTGTGAAGAATGATGATGGTATTTTGATAGAATTGCATTGAATCTGTAGATTGCTTTGGGCAGTATGGTCATTTTCACAGTATTGATTCTTCCATTTCATGAGCATGGGATGTGTTTTGTTTGTGTCATTTGTGATTTCTTTCAACAGTGTTTTGTAGTTTTCCTTGTAAGATTTTTCACCTCCTTGGTTAAGTATATTTCTAAGTATTTTATTTTATTTTTTATAGATGTTGTAAAAGGGATTGAGTTCCTGATTTAATTTTCAGCTTGGTTGTTGTTGGTATACAGCAGTGCTACTGATTTGTGTACATTGATTTTGTATCCTGAGACTTTACTGAATCCATTTATCAGATCTAGGAGCTTTTTGGATGAATCTTCAGGGTTTTCTAGGTATCTAATCATATTATTGGTAAACAGTGACAGTTTGACATCCTCTTTTCCAATTTGGATGCCCTTTATTTCTTTCTCTTCTATAAGTACTCTGGCTAGGACTTCCTGTGTTATGTTGACTAGAAATGGTGAAAGTGGACATTGTTGTGAAGGACGTTTTGTTCCATTTCTCAGGGGGAATGCTTTCAACTTTTCCTCGTTCAATATGATGTTGACTATGGGTTTGTCATATATCGCTTTTATTACTTTGAAGTAAGTCCCTTGTATGCCTGTTTTGTTGAGGGTTTTTATCATAAAGGGATGCTGGATTTTATCAAATGCTTTTTTGTATCTGTTGAGATGATCATATAGTTTTGGTTTTTAATTCTGTTTATGTGATGTACCACATTTACTGATTGGCCTATGTTAAACCATTTCTATATCCCTGGGATGAAACCTGCTTGATCATGATGTGTTATCTTTTTGATAGCACATGTATCAGTATTTCTGTGTATAGATTTTGCCTTGTATAATTAAACACATTTTTTAAGGAAAAAAAATTTAAGGAAAAACTATTTTTAAGGAAATATTTTCAAGAGATGATAAATAAAACCATAGATACTTTTTTGGGTCTTTTTCCCCCTTATATTTATTTCAAAAAAGTATTTATATATTTCATGATTAAGTAAATTCAACTGTTTTAGAAAACAGGGTATGTCCATGTTTAACCATGTTGCCAGTACTAGGCATCAAAGGCTTGGGTAGTTAGTATGTAAGCAGAATTCTGTGCATAAGTTTCTATTAAATTTGATTGTTTTCCTTGGAGAAAGGGATTAAAAAATTTAAAAACTTCTGCCTACCAGTTTGTTACTTTTAATGTGAAATGATACACAAAGTTGGATCAGTATATTGATGAAATTTTTAAGGGTTCTTATCCAGAGAGTTCCCAGTGCCCTTCATTTTATAGGTTTTGCTACTATTATAAATGTAATAATGCCCAGCAACTCAGATAGATAAATGACATAATGAATATTATTTAAGGAATATATCTGTAATAAACTGTTTGTACCTACAGATACCACCTTGTCTTCTTTTCTGTAATTACAACTATTAAAGTATCTCCTCATTTTATTTTCTTGGAACCACCACCAAAGCAAGCATCAAGAAATCCTAATGTCTAGCAAGCAAACGGGGAAGACTTTCTCTTGTGAGAACTCAGACATCATCACATTTGTAAAGGAAAGGAGGCTGTGCTTAGAACTGGCTTCTGCATATAGCCAGGCACTCCAAAATGTGGCTGATGGACAGACCAGGAGATCTTTGTCAAGGATTAGAATTTTCCATTTCTCAGTGCTGTCTGGAACCTATATTCTGTTTTTCTCCTCCTGTGTATATTGTACTCTCAGGCATAATGGACTCTTCTGAAAATAACACACATTTCCTAAGTCGGATAGTGGTAGAAGGTTGCTCACATGAATATCATTTTCTCTTCTAGTTCCATCACCGGGACAGCTTCAACACAGGGTCCACAGCGTGGGGCATTTCCCAGTGTCTATCCGACAGCCTCTTAAAGCCACAGCCTATGTGAGTCCAACCGTTCAAGGCAGCAGTAACATGCCTTTATCAAACGGCTTACAGCTGTATTCCAACACAGGAATCCCCACACCGAACAAAGCTGCAGCTTCTGGGATAATGGGTCGCAGTGCACTCCCAAGACCTTCGTTGGCAATAAATGGGAGTAACCTGCCTCGAAGCAAAATTGCACAACCTGTTAGAAGGTAAGAATGTGTATTTGCGTAACTTCATTTGCAGTTTGGAACTAGAAACTGCTCCAGACACACGCTGACTTTTCCTTTGGCTCACTTTAACCTTAGTAAGACACTACCCTTTATGGCCTGACTTGTGCTCTCCTCCCTTTGAAAAGTGATGGATATCCCTGTGTGGGTCAGGTCCCCTTCTCTCTGATGTCATTTTCTTCCCTTACTCCCTCATCACTATCACTCCTAAGACGCTCTTTGCTTTTGCTTTTACCAGATAAGCTCTGTCTCCAGAGCTTTTGTAGCTTTCTGCTCCCAAGTTATTTGCATGGCTTGCTCTGTGCCTCCCTCAGGTCTTTGCTCAGATGGCAGCTCTATCCAAAAATTGTAGGGCGGGGGGAGGTTGACTTTTTGGTTCATTGCTGTGTATCCCCGATGCCAAGAACTATGCCCAATACAGGTAGGATCTCAAATATTTGTTGAATCAGTCATTTTTAATCAAAATATGGAAAAATGTGTCAGGCGTATGTGCACACGCACACCCTCCTCCCACACATTTATGGTTTGAAAAGCATCTTAATGACATTCACCTGGGGCTTTATCAGCTTATGTTGGTAAGTTCAGTATGGTCCAGGTAGTAATTTTTTTTTTTTCCCTTCAAAGTTTCAGAGTACTTCAAAGGACATTTAGTCTAGCTCTTGGTCATGATGTTCCCTTCTTGAACTGGATATCATGGAGTATCTTATATTAAAAATCCATAAAAGTGGTTTGAGGAGAGATTGGTAGATGAGGAAATAAAGACAATAAATACAGACAGCTCTTTCAAGAAATTAGGATATGAAGGAGAAGGAGAAAACCATAGTAAAAAGTTTGAAAGAGGTGGAACAAGCAATTTTTTTCTGTCTTTATGCATTTATGGATATATAAATAGTTTTATTTTGTTTTGTTTGTTTAGAAGTAATAGATGCTCAGATCAACAACAAATTTCGAAAAACAGAAACTATTGAAAAATAGAAAAGTAAAGACTGACCCATAATCCTACTGCCAGATAGAAATAATTTTGGTACATGTTTATTTATTCAGTAAGTTTTGGCTTATTCTGCTTTGTAAATGCAGAGCTGTGTCATCATGCTGATGGCTGACTAGAATCACATTATTTGATGTATATGGTTATTGTAGACCATACATTTATCCTTGACTATGTGTCTCCAAACTAAACTCTTGGAAAGGTCACTGCTAGACAATGTGAGATGGTCTATTTCCCCAAACTTAAGCAAATGCTAGGTATTATTCTTTTTAATTGTTTTAAATTTAAATTTTTTATTTTATCTATTCTTTTTAGAGACAGGGTCTTGCTCTTTTGCCCAGGCTGGAGTGCAGTGTTATGGTTGTAGCTTGTTGTAACCTCAAACTCCTGGGCTCAAGTGATCCTCCTGCCTTGCTAGGACTACAGTGCATATCACCACTCCCAGATAATTTGAAAAAAAAATTGTAGAGACAAGGTCTTGCTATGTTGCCCAAGCTGGTCTTGAATTCCTGGCCTCAAGTTTTCCTCCTGCCTCGGCCTCCCAAAGTGTTGGGATTATAGATGTGAGCCACTGCACTCAGCCAAAGATTCTTTTTAAATGTTTTGCGAATATGATAGGCAAATCTTCAATTACTAATAAGGTTTTGAAAATGTCTTCATATTCATTTGCTGTTTGTATTCAACAGAGTAACCATTTATGTTTTTAGGTCATTTTTCTAGCCAGGATCCTATATTTTTCTTATTTTAAAATATGTTTTATACATTAAGGGTATTGGCCCCTTTATTTATGTTGCAAATTTTCTTGTGCAAATACAACATGCATGACACTTTGCCATGAACTGGGGCTCTGGGAGATAAGCATGCAGTGAAGACCCGTAAGTGTGAACCACAAGGTACACTTGAGATGGTGCCAGTGGCTTCTCATTACTGCAGTGGAAGAACATAGATGGGAGAGTAGGTCAAAGTGAGTGATGTGACTCATAGGATTATTAACAATCTCTCTCTCTGTTTTTCTTGTCTCTTTTTAGTTTTCTTCAGCCTCCAAAGCCTCTGTCTTCACTCAGCACTCTGAGGGATGGAAATTGGAGAGATGGTTGCTACTAATGCAGTTTTATGTACCCTTGAAAAATGGGAAAGAAGTAAAAATGAGGGTTGTGTTACCTAGCTGGCTGGGTAGCAGTGGATGTTGGGATATTCTTTCCCTTTTGTGTTTTAATATATTTACTGCATTGTTTCTCAATGGACCAGTCACCAGAGACTAATTATTGCACTTAAATATTTGCCTGAGATACTGCAACATTCTCAAACCCATGGTTGCAGTATTGTGACACTTAGATCTAGGAAGTTTTTGTAGAACTGCTCTGTACCTGAATACTTTTTGAGAGAATTAAGATGTATCAATAATGCTTTGCCATATGAGTTTTTTAAAGTAACTTGTTCAATTTACTCACGTGTTCTAAACATCTTTCCATTACATGTTCTGTATTTTAATACATTGCATATTGACAACTAGGTTCTATAATGTATGCTTTGAAATTTACTTTTTTATAGTTTACAGGAATTTTATTTTTTGTGCCTATTTCTTTTTACACCTATGTGAACCACTATGGAACAACTTAAATTTTGTGCCATAAAAATATTTTTGTGGTAAGGTACTATTTTTTTAGCTCTAGGGATATATCAGCAAAAACACATCATGCAATTTGAGACACATAATTTTGTGTTGAATGAGCACAACATAATTTGAAGCATTGCAAGGAGATAACCAGACAGCAGAATTAAATGGTCCTGTCTTTTTCATTTTTAATTTATTGTCATACATGGGTTTCATATTTATAACGGCATCATGAGCTCATTGCACTTAATACCTGCAATGTTTGCTACTGTACCACAATTGATTTTCAATACTTTATTACGAAGGATGAAACTGTAATGTTTTATTAACAATGCTTCTGGAAATGAATGCATTTTAAAGCAAATAAATCTTTTTGATAGACCTTTTACAAAATCCATTTGCACTAATGAATGCTTTCTTATGGCATATAACTTAATATTTGTTACTGTGTACACTGCTGTTTTGGAATGTTCAGAAATAAAGACTCTATTTCAGCAATATCAGGTCATGCATGAATGTACAGCATAAACAGTGTAACTACACATGTGTTTCACTACAATTGTGAAAATGCTTATTGTTACTCTGTTCTTGTGCAGGGCATTTATATCTCAAGCAGGTAGACTTAGAATATTCACATTTGTAAAATTATTCTTCTTTTCCCAAGTACTCCTGATAAGAATTGTATGATTTTTCTTACATTAGTTTTAGTTAGGTAGTTTTACAGGGAGGTTTAGGTCCATTTAAAGAGGCCACTAAAACTCACGCAGCATGTTGCTGAGAAACACATTTACAGATGAACATTGTCAGTGGAGATTTTAATATTTTATAGGAGTTGAATTTGAAATACTTTCTCAGTATCAGTAAAATAGCAAGTACTATCCTTATTCTGCATTATATTTGATATATGTTGGAAAACTTTACTTGAAGGTACTGTGGGAAGTTTAGGCAAAGATTTTTAGGTTAGGTTTTGAAATGGAGTTCTACCTATAGTCATTAGAGGTTTTTAGTTTTTTTAAAGTGTACCTTTGTATGTAATTCTCTCTAGAACTAAAAGGAATGTTTGTTTAAATAACTTGCACTTTAAGTGGAATGTGAGCTAGAGGAGGTAAGATATGAAAAGGGAAGTAATATTTATTAAGCACCCCTTCAGTCAAAAGAACTGTGCAAGATATTTTATATACATTTGTCTAGGACTAACTTTCACCTACTATTATCACCATTTTAAAGATGAAGACACTAAGTCCCACAGAGGTGATTATTTGTCAGTTTTTGCATCACTATAAAGGAATACCTGAGACTGGGTAATTTATGAAGAAAAGAGGTTTAATTGGCTCATAGTTCTGCAGGGTGTACAGGAAGCGTGGTGCCAGCATCTGCTTGGCTTCTGGTGAGGCCTCAGAAAGCTCACAGTCATGGCGGAAGGCAAAGGGGGAGCTGGTGCATCACATGGTGAGAGTGAGAGCAAGGGGTGGGGCGGGGTTTCTACACTTTTTAAAAAAACAACAAGATCTTGTGTGAACTCAGAACAAGAGCTCACTTATCACCCAGGGGATGGCACTAAGCCGTTCATGAGGGATCTGCCCCCATGATCCAATCACCTTCCACCAGGCCCCACCTCCAACACTGGGGATCACATTTCAACATGAGATTTGGAGCAGACAGATATACAAACCATATCGTTCTACCCCGGCCCCCAAGTCTCATGCCCTCCTTGGATTGCAAAATGTAATCTTCTCTTTCCAACAGTCCCCCAAAGTTTTAATTCATTCCAACATCAAGTCCAAAGTCCTAAGTCTGATGTGAAACTCATCTCCTTCCACCTATGAGCCTGTATTATGAAAACAAGTTATTTACTTCCAAGATAATGGTGGTACAGGCATTGGGCAAACATTTCCATTCCAAAAGGGAGAAATTGGCCAAAAGAAAGGGGCAACAGGCCACATACAGGTCTGAAACCCAGCATGGTAGTCATTAAATCTTAAAGCTCCAAAATAATTTCCTTTGACCCCATGTCCTCCATTCAGGACACACTGGTGCAAGGGGTGGGCTCCCAAGGCCTTGGGCAGCTCTGCCTCTGTGGTTTTACTGGGTGCAGCTCATGTGGCTGCCCTCATGGGCTGGAGTTGAGTGCTTGCAGCTTTTGCAGGCTCAGGATGTAAACTGCCAGTGGCTTTACCATTCTGGGGTATGAAGGGCGGCAACCCCCTTCCCACAGCTCCACTAGGCCATCCCCAGTGGCAATTCTGCAGGGGGGCCTCCAACTCCACATTTGCTCTTAGCACTGCCCTGGTAGAGGCTGCTGTGAGGGCTCTGCCTCTGTGGCAGGTTTCTGCCTGGCCACCCAGGCTTTCTGATGCATCCACTGAAATCTAGGTGAAAGCTGCCATGCCTCCTTCACTCTTGCATTCTGTGTACTTTCAGACTTAACACCATGTGGAAGCCACCAAGGCTCATGACTTGCCCTCTAAAGAGGCAGCCCAAGGTGTGCCTGTGGCCCTTTGAGCCGAGGCTGGGCCCAGAGTGGCTGGGATGCAGGGAACGATACCCTGAGACTGCACAGCGCAGTGGGGCCCTGGGCCTGGCCCCTTAAACCATTCTTCCCCCATAGGCCTCCTGAGCCTGTGATGCATTGGGCTGCCTCAGAGATTTCTGAAATACATTTGAGGCCTTTTCCCTATTCTCTTCGCTCTTTTTCAGTCATGCTGATCTCTCAAGTGGTTACTCCACAGGCCACTTGGATTCCTTCTCTACCACAGGGCCAGGCTGTGACTTTTCCAATTTTTTTGTTTTGTTTTGTTTTGTTTTATACAGAGTCTTGCTCTGTTGTCCAGGCTAGAGTGCAGTGGCATGATCTCAGCTCACTGCAACCTCCACCTCCTGGGTTCAAGTGATTGTCCTGCCTTAGCCTCCAGAGTAGAGTAGCTGGGACTACAGACATTCACCACCACACTGGCTAATTTTGTATTTTTAGTAGAGACAGGGTTTTGCCATGTTGGCCAGGCTATTCTCAAACTCCTGACTTCAGGTTGATCTGCCTACCTCAGCCTCCCAAAGTGCTGGGATTACAAGGTGTGAGCCACTGCACCCGGCTGACTTTTCCAAATTTTACTCTCTGCTTCCCTTTTAAATATATATTCTGACTTTTAAGTCATCTCTTTGCTTCTGTATCTGATTATAGGCTGTTAGAAGCAGCCACAGCACTTCTTGAATGTTTTGCTGCTTAGAAACTTCTGCCAGATACCCTAAGTCATCTTAAGTTCAACCTTCCACAGATTCCTAGGACATCGGCACAATGCAGCAAGCTCTTTGCTAAGGAGCGACAAGGGGGACCTTTACTCCAATTCCCAATAAGTTCCTCATTTGCATTTGAGGCCTCTTCAGCCTGGCCTTCACTGTCCATATCTCTTGTCAGCATTTTAGTCATAACCATTCCAATCAGTTTCTAAGAAGTCCCAAACTTTTTCTCATCTTCCTGTCGTTAGCCCTCCAAACTCTTCTAACCTCTGTTACCCTGTTCTAAAGCCACTTCCACATCTTCAGTTATCTTTATAGCAATGCCCTACTCCTCAGTACTAATTTTCTGTGTTTATTTTTTTGCATTGCTGTAAAGAAATACCTGAGGCTGGGTAATTTATAAAGAAAAGAGGTTTAACTGGCCCACAGTTCTGCAGAGTGTACAGGAAGCATGGTGCCAACATTTGCTCAGCTTCCCAAGAGGAGTCAGGAAGTTTACAATAACGGCAGAAGGCAAATGGGGAAGTCAGTGTATCACACGGTGGGAGGGAACAAGAGAGAGAGGGCGGAGGTGCCAGGCTCTTTAGAGCTCTCATGCGGACATATTACCCTGGGGAGGACACCAAGCCATTCAAGAGGGAATCTGTCCCATGAGCCACAAACCTCCCACTAACCCACTTTCGACACTGGGGATTACATTTCAACATGAGATTTGGAGGGGACAAAATATCCAAACCATATTAGTGACATTAGTCTTGGGTAAACATTTAGCAATGTTTAAATAGTGCAGCTTACCTTTGAATCCAGGTTTATCTGGCTCAAAAGTCTTATTTTTCCCCACAACTATGCTCTCTTCCAATGAACACAGGTAGCTGGTATTTTTTTTAATCACTTTTTATTCTGCAGAGAAAAAGGATTCGATTCGTTCTCCATTCAAATGTTTGATTTATATTCAAAAAAGTCTGCTTAGCCCTTGCAATAAAATAACAAAGATCCCTTCATCTTGGCTTTTACATTCTTGTTGGGGAGAAACCATAAACAGGTAAGAAAATCACTGCAGGTTAGGTCATAAGTTCTGTGGGGGAAAAGAGGAGATCAAGACAAGAGGAGTTAAGAGAAAATAGGGGTGGGGAGAAATCATACTATTAAAAGGGTCACCTCAGTAGATATTAATATAGGAGTTAAATTATTTAGGCAGTTAGTGAGGGTACAGGAGTCTTTGGTAAGGTTTTCCTTTAATGAAAAGGCAGCCCCCAAATCATTTCTTTTCTAACAAAAAAAAAGCAGCCTGAAAAATCAAGCTGCAAACATAGATAAGCAACTGGAAGCTTGCATACGTGAATGCCGGCAGCCGTGCCAGAAGCATCCAACATGGAGGTTTTCTCTTCCCTTTTCCTTGTCACCACATGTGCAGGTGTCATGGCGCTGGCCAGGTAGAAACCCCATCTGTATAATAAAAGATTAGAGTGGGATGGCCAGCGTCTTCGAGGGCTATGTAAATGTCACACCTGGTCCAACCAATCCCCTGGGCCTTATGTAAATCAGATACCGCCTCCTCGAGCCCCTCTATAAAACCAACCGCATCCCGCTGCTAACAGGGAGATCCATTCGGAATCCCCCTCCCTCTACATGGGGCAGCTTTTCTTTTGTTTCTTTCACCTATTAAACTTTCCGCTCTTAAACCCACACCTTGTGGTCTTCATTTTTCTTAGTGCGAGACAACGAACCTCGGGTGTTTCCCCAGACAAACGATGCCACTTCAATATCGTTAAGGAGCTAGTATGAGCAAAGGCTTGACGATGGAGAGTTAGTCCTGAAGATGTTTCACAACCTTTTTCATCTGGAGTTCTACAGAACATGAAATAGTTGTAGTGACTATTTTCACAGTTCTTCCCAGGAGGGTTTATAACTATTATTATTTTAAATGCACAGGAAATAATTTAATACATTATAGATAGCGGATGTCCCAGGGCAGTGGTTTCAAAGTGTAATTCTAACACCAGCAGCATCTTTTGAGAATTTGTTAGAAGCTGATATTCTCAAGCATCATCCCAGATCTATTGAATGAGCCCTCTGGATGATTTGCAGAATACCCTTTGAGGAAAGCTGCTAAAAAAAGAGGGAATAGCCTGTGTGGAGGAAGGCTGTGAGGTGGAGCATGCCTGTGTGTTTGAGGAAGAGCAAGGAGGCCAGTGTGTCTGCAAACAGGGAACAAAGAGGAAAGCCATAGAAATGAGTTCAGAAAGGTGATGGGGCAAGGCCAGGTAGGATATGGTGGGCTACAAATGGACTTTGACTTAACTCTGAAACAGGAAGCTGTTGCATGGGTTTGGGCAGCAGAGTATGGGATTTGACTTATTTTAAAAAGCATTAACCTGGCACTTGGTGAGGATGGATTGTAGGAGGCCAAGTGTAGATGCTACCAGGATGAATTCAAGTATTTCGGTCTTTCAAATGAGATGATGAAGAATTGAACCAGTGTGGTAACCAGTGTGGTAGCATTTAAGATGGTAAAGTGGTCAGATTTTTAGATATATTCTAGAAATAAAACCGTAAGATTTATTTGGTTTGGATGAACTATTGGATTAGATGAGCTGTGTTAGCAATTGAGGAAAAACTCCAAGGGTTTTGGGCTGATCAACTAGGAGGACAGAGCTCCTACAACAGATACGGGAAAGGCTATGGCTGGGAGAAGGTTCAAAAAGCCATGGTTCTTGCGGAGATCACCAAAGTGAGTTCAGGTAGATAGGAGAGGACTCAGGACTGAGATCTAGGGCACTTAGGCCCTTTATCTCATGTGAGTTGCTCAAAGGAGATACCACGGATAACAACCTGGAACTCATACAGGAAAGAGGATGCTTTTTTCTCCAATGTGGAAGGGAGTTGTGGTGTTGGGTTAATACGGACAACCTAGCATGGTTTACATTTGTACTAGTTAGCTAGTGCTGTGTAACAAGTTAGCACAAGACTTAGTGGTTTAAAACAATATTATCTCAGTTTCTGTGGGTCTGGCATCTGGCTATGGCTTAGCTGGGTTCTCTGGCTTAGTGTTTCTTACAAGGATGCAGTCATCTCGAGCATGCTTGTGGAAGAACCTGCTTCAAGTTCACTTTTGTGGTTGTTGGAAAAACCCATTTCCTTGTGTGCTGTCAACAGAAGCTGCTCTCATAGTCTCTTGTTGTGTGGACCTCTCCTTGCGCAGGTCAAAAAGTAGCATCTTGCTTCATCAGAATGATCCAACAAGATGGAAATTAAGGCCTTTTAAACGTAATCTTGAAAGTGAGGTCTCATCACTTTTGCCCTACTCTGTTCATCAGAAGCCAGCCAGTAGGTCCAGCCCTTATTCATGGGGAGAGAATGACACAAAAATGTGAATGCTGGAGGTGAGGATGATTGGGACCATCTTAATTATAGAAGCTGCCTGTAAAACATTGCCATTAACTTTACCAGATAATCCCAACCAATTTCCAAAATAACTGTATAATATTACGTTTTTGCCAGCAGTGTATGAGAATTCCAGTATATCCTTGCTATACATCCTTGATATTGTTAGTCTTTAACTTTTTAATCTGTGGGTGTATAGCAATGTCTCCTTGTGGTTTTAATTTGCATTTCCCTGGTTGCCAGTAAGACCAATACCTTTTCCTTTTCATTCATTTATTAGATGGATTCCTGTTCAGATCTTTTGCTTATTTTTCTTTTGGGGTTTTTTGCTAATTGCAGTAGTTCTTCATATATTCTGCTATAGTCCTTTTTTCAGTTATATGTGTTATAAAAATATCTTCCCCCTATGTAGCATGACTTTTAATTCCCTTAATAGAGTGTTTTGATAAATAGAATTATTTTAATATAGTACAATTTGCCATTTTTTAAGGTTACTCTTTTGTGTCTTGTTTAAGGAGTATTTCCTTACCCTAGGATCGTGATACATTCTCCTTTCTTCTAGAAGTTTTGTTATTTTACTTTTCTCCTATAAATTTATAATCTACCTGGATTTGATCTTTATATATTGTACAAGGTAGGGTTACAATTATATTTTATATTTTCCATGTGCATATCTAATTGTCCTAGTAACACTGAAAACTTCATCCTTACCCCCACTGCTTTTTGTCATAGCTTTATATTTGTCTGTTTTGGAATTGTCTATTTTTGCACCAGAGCCATGTTGTTTTAATCACTGTAGCCTTATATAAGATTTTCTAAATAGCAGAGCAATCCTGCTCCCTTGTTTTCTCTTAAGAGTGTTTTGACTATTCTTGTCTCTTTGCATTTCCATATATATTTTTAAGCAAGTGGGTCAAGTTCAAGAAAAATATCCTATTGGAATTTTGATTGGGATTGCATTCAGTTTGAGGGAAATTGAATCTTTACAATTTCAAGTCTTATAATTCGTGAATATGATCTACCTCTTACTGATTCAAGTATTCTTAAATCTCTTATTAAAATTGTATAGGTTTTCTATGGAGAAATCTTGCCGGAATAATTTCTAAGTATTTGATTTTTCATGCTGTTGTAAATGATATTTTAAAAAATTTTATCTCTAGTGGTTTCTTTTTAATGTTTTATTCAACAACCTTAAATTTATGTTGGTTTATATTAACTTATCTTTAGAATACATAGAAACTGTATCTGTACATACAGTCAAACATATGGATATTAGATTATTTCTTCCTTTCCTATTTGTATATTTTTTTCTTTCTTGCCTATGGTTTTTGATGCAATATTAAATATATAATAATAGGTATCTTTCTCTCTTTGCTATTTTCAGAAAAAAAGCTTTCTATTTTACCCTTAGTTTTAAATTTGCTAATAGTATTATTTTATTGTGAAAGAATGTGAATTTTAACAGATTTTTTCTGCATCTATAAAATATGATCCTATTAATAATCTATTATTAATAGATTAAAATGATTATCTCATTTAATCTGGTAATATGCTGACTTTAACATAGATTTTTTGAATGTTGAATCAACTTTGAATTATTGAGATAAACCCAGTTTAGTCATGATTGTGTTTTTCTTTTAAAGACAGATGTATTTGACTTTCTAATGCTTAGGATTTTCGTCCAATTTTATGAATAAAATTGGTCCATAATTTTTTAAAAAACTGTCTCTATTAAGCTTTGGAATGATGATAGCATTAATCTCACAGAGTGAGTTGGGGATATTTTGTCTTTTTCTATCTGGAAGAATTTGTGTAATATTGGAATTATTTTTCCCTTAAATATGTGATAAATCTCTAGTGAAGCCTTCAGGAATTAGAGTTCAGATCAAGTCATGTTTTACAATCTGATGTTGTTTATACTTACTCTATTTCCAAGAGTTGTGATAAAACCTCCCTCTATAATGGTGAGTGTAAATGTTCCCCCTTACAGTTCTATCAAATTTGCTTTATGTTTTTTGACATACACCATGTAACTTTGGTGTATACATATTTAACAAGTTTTATCTTCCTAGCAAAGTAGACCTGTTATCAATGGAACTATTCTTTATCTTTTTTTAATGTCTTGAAACCTACTTTTCTGATATCAAGGCTATGTTAAATTTTAAACACATCAGATTTCTTTTAGTGCTTATATAATGTATATTTTTAAACCTTTTACTTTCAAACTTTTAGAAGTCTTATGTTAAGCATCATATAGTTTGTTGATTTTTTTAAAAATCTAGTATGAACATTGTTGACTCAACTTCAGCATTTAAACCATTAGTATTTAAAATAATCACTGATATATTTAGATTTCAATCTATCACCTTTTTATGAGCTTTCTGTTTGTTGTGTCTGTTCCTTTGGTTTCCATTTTAGTCTTACTTTAGTTTGCTTTATCATTCTGTTTTAATTTCCTACTAGTTTGAAAATTATAGCCTAATTGTCTTTTGCTATTCTTTTAGTGGTCACCCAAGAAATTACAATTTGCATCTGCATTAATCTTTGTCTTTACCATTCTTCTAGGGAGTATAAGGACCCTTAGTGTTATACCTAATCTATGTATGTGCAATTGAAGTGTCAGCCTGGGACTGGGGAGAAGAAATCATATACAGACTTTTAGGCTCTCTGAAATTCAGAGAAAACAGTCATATAAACAATGCAGCACTGTGTCGACAAAAGATAGAAAAAGATACACAGAGTGGTTTTAGGACAGAGGGAATGATCAACTTTGATGGGATCGGAAGGTTTTCCAGGTAGCTTAAGTGTTATTATTTTATTTTAAACTAGGCTCTGAGTTTATCCATTCAACAAATATTATTGAGGGTCTACTATTTGTTAGGTTTTGTGCTAGATGCAGAGGATGTAATAGCCAATTAGTCAGGCATGATTCCTATCATCGTGGAAATTACATTCCTGATTCTAGTGAGAAAGGTTCAAATCAAATAAGCAAAATACTATTTCTTTTCTGCAAAGGAAAAAGTAGGAGCTGAGATATAGAATGGTAGGGAATGAGAGGAAGAGAAAAAGGATTATTTCAATAGGGGTTCTCTGAAGGTATCCCATTTAAATAATCATCCTTGGGACCTCCTCTTCTGGGAAAAGGATATTTAAGCTGAAAATGTACAGGAGTTAATCAAGTGAAGAGAAGGAGAAAGATTTTTCCAGGCACAGATAGGGAAGATTTTGGGGTGTTTGAAGGATCAACAGAAGATTGGGATGGCAGGACCTCAGTGTGCTGGTGTCAGGATTGGCTACATCATTTGTGGGAGCTAGCACAAAATGAAAAGGCAGGGCCCTTTGTTGAAAACATATTAAGAATTTCAGGATGGTGACAGTGGAGTATTAAACCAAGTCTGGGACTCTCCTAATCATGGGTCCCTGCATACTGTGTAGGTGGCACACCAGTGAAGCCAGCCCCGGCTAAGAGGAAAGAGGTAAGAGCTGAGTTGGAGGAAGAAGCAGAGGGAAAATCTTGTGGAACCTCAAGGCTACATGAAGCACTTTGAGCTTTA
The DNA here is from genome assembly GCF_000001405.40 of Homo sapiens. NCBI lineage: Eukaryota > Metazoa > Chordata > Mammalia > Primates > Hominidae > Homo > Homo sapiens. Next base: position 77,773,904 of record NC_000013.11, read on the forward strand.
TTTCAAATTCAATGGGAAATGATTTCTTAATAATACCAGCACTCATAATGCTTTTCCTATGTGCCAGATACTCTGTGTAGCTCTTTAGAACGTTTTACTTATGTGATCCTCACACAGCCTTATGGAAGTAAATACTATTATTATCTCCATTTCAAAGATGGGGAGACCCAGGTGCAGAAAGGTTAACTTATGCCAGGACGCAGAGCTCTTAAGAGGCAGAAGTTGGATTTGAATGCAGTTCAAAAGGAGTGAGTTGAGCAAATTAAAAACTTACTCTACCTTTATATGAGAATAAATTAAAGAGAGCCAAGAGTGGAAGCAGGCACAAGGCCAGTGGACATTCCTTGCAGAGACAGCAGTATGTACAAAGGAATGGTGTGTGCAAGGACCTGAAGTTACATTGCTAAGTCAATCAGGGATTGGTTTAATTTAGCTGCATTGTAGGGTATAAGGAAGTGCTGTAAGAAACAAAGCCAAAGGCTGGGCAGGAGCCAATTTGGGGAGGGCCTCGTAGCTCATGCAAAGTAGGAGTGGGGAGCTAGATCTCTCTGAGGGAAGATGTGAAGGCAAGAATGATACCTAATTCTATGTTAGCCAGGCTCAGTGCAGGTAGCACTAATTAGCTTTTTTAAGGGAGAATTTTTTAAATTAATTTTTTTCATTTATGTTATTATGTTTTAGAGAGAGGATCTTGCTCTGTCACCCCAGGCTGGAGTGCAGTGGTACAACTGTGGCTCACTGCAACCTCAACCTCCTGGGCTCAAGTGATCCTCCCACCTCAGCCTTTTGAGTGGCTGGGACTAAAGGCACACTCCACCATACCCATTTAATTTTAACCTTTTTTTTTTGTAGAGACAATGTCTGGCTATGTTATCCAGGTTGGTCTTGAACTCCTGACCTCAAGTGATCCTACCACCTCCACCTCCCAAAGTGCTGAGATTACAGGCATGAGTGACCTTGCCTGCCCTAATTTTATTTTTGTAAGTGATAAATAAATGTACATATTCAGGGGGTACATGGTGGTGTTTCAGTACCTATCAATCAGATCAGGGTAATTAGCATATTCATCATCTCAAACATTTATCATTTCTTTGTGTTGCAAAACATTCACTATCCTCCTTCTGTTTGAAACTATATAAAAATATATTATTGTTAACTATAGTTATCCTACAGTGTTACAGAACACCAGAACTGATTCCTTCTATCTAGCTGTAATTTTGCATCCTTTAACATAAGTAGAATTTGGTAGAGGAATTCAGTGTCTGCAAGATCACTGGGAGGACTGGTGGGCCCAATTAGGGTGGGCCTCTGAGAACAGCCCGTAGCATAGCAGCACAGATCTGGCCTGCCAGGGGATCTGCTAACATGGCCAGAGACAGGGACGTGGGGAATCTGAAGCTGCCACTGGAACCGTTGGCTCCACTAACACACTGCACTAACTGTGGTCCGGGGATCAGGAAGCAGCATCGTGGCTGCATCATCATGCCTGCCACATTTGCACCAACAGAAAGTGGATAGGTCACATGTCCCACCTGTCCCACCCAGGAAAGTCATGGACCATATGTGGGGACCTCTGCGAAGGCTGCCACACAGTAAAGGCAATGTCTTCATGGCTGTGCTTGCAACAGAAACACCATAAACTGCGGAACTGTCACCTTTCCTGCAATAGTGATGGGTGTGCCCTAAGTCACATCTGGAATCCTTGCAGAAAGGAAGTTTGATAGATGTGATTTTTAGCTTTGTCCCTGTGCTATGCAGAGAGACATGCTCAGAGAAGTACCATATCCACCATGGAGACGATTGTATTCACCTAATAAACAGTGGATAGACTGGAAGGAAAATATAGGAGGGGCACGAAGACAGGAATATAGATGAAAGACTTGGTTTTAACAGAGCTAAGCCAATTTGGTGGTTTGTGCTTGGCAGATTCTGTTTAGTGCACATCACATCCAAGGGTTAGAGTGAGTGAGGGCTGTGGTCCACTCTCCCACAGTCTCGCAGACTAAGATGTTACAGGCAACGGCTTTACCAGATGCTTACCATGGCAGAACATGAGTCACTGCTTTCTGCTTTTGATACCATTTTCCTAATGCCCCCCTGCCCTGCTTAACTGCTAAGTAGCGCACATTTTACATTTTAGTCATAGAAACACTCAATTTCCTGCACTAATGATTCTATTCCTAAGTATAGGTATGTTAGTTTGGTTTGCCCCAAGGCAGATCCTGAGACAAGGGTAAGTAGCTTCATTGGAAGGTGCAGGAAATATCATAGGTGGGTGGCGAATTGAGGAAGAACTGGGAAAACTGGCAATAAAGAAGACTTATTAAGCACGTTAGCACTGTGGGCAACTGGAAAATTCTACAAGAAAATTCTGAGATATAAATGCACACCTCAGGGCTAGTCTGCTCAGGAGCTGAGGTATATATATACCTCCTCCCATCAGTCAAGGTTGAGGATGTTCCTGAGGGGTGTGAATTTCCACCCCTCCTGTGTTGAAGCTGCCATCTCAGCTTTTGAGAAAGCTGTCAGCCCCCTGATAATCCCCTCCATAGTTGTCTAGAACTTGGTCACAAACTATGGTCCATGAGCCAGATTCCACCCACAGCCTACTCTTTTGTTACAAGCTAAGGGTGATTTTTATATTTTTATAGAGTTGTTGAAAAAAATCATATGTAACAGAGACTGTGGCCTGCAAAGCCTAAAATATTCACTTATGGTTTTCAGAAAGAGTTTGCCAATTTCTTGGTGTACATGGTCTTGCAGTAAGAAATAATCTCCAAATCTCAGGTTAAAAACAACTATTTCTCCGTTGTGGTCTATGTCTGATAGAGGGCAGAAGTGGGCTTGCTTCATGTAGTCACTCTACCTTATAACGCTTCCCTATAGTAAATCCTTCTGGTAGCAACACAAGGCACCAGGGTTTATAACAGCAGGGAGAGAGAATATGTAAAATAGAGCACCAACTAGGTCCCTCGTGCTTCAGACTGAAAGGGACACGTGTCATCTCCTATAACTGTCTATTACCACCACCAGTCACATGACTGCAAAGGAAGCAAGGAAACATAATCTCCTATGTCCAGCAAGGAGGAGAGACCTGGAAATACTGGTGGCCAGTACTCATGTCTACTATAGCTCTCTTGTATGAAGTTCCCTTCACTTTCCCAATATAAACAAGATTTTGGTGAAAACATCATTCATTGATTTCACATATTTTCCTGGAGTTAATAACTGCTTCATTTAACAAAAAAGTCTTAGATTTCTTTGAGCTTGCAGGTATGGTTTTTACATTCTGCATGACTCTGTAAAACACTTCTCTTCCACGTAGTCAAGCTTATCAGATAATCAATCTGTCAATCCTATTTTAATATGAGACTTTCTAATTGTTGTAGAATAGCTACGAAACAGTGCCAAGCTTCACTATTTTTCTTTTTAAATAATATTCAAGGGACTTATTAATAAGTTCAATATTTTGTACTTTCAGATATCTCAATTTTGAAGTGTGTAAGCTTTAATTTGAAGAACAGTTTAAAAAGTATTATGCCTAGGTCTGTCATTACATTGCATAATCAATAAAACAAATATTATATAATATTATAAAATCTTGCCCTTTTTAGGGATGGTGCTCAAATGAATTAAAAGTTTCATGAGTAGAGTCAACACTTTTCTTAATATACTATTTGCTCTTTTAGATCCAGCAGTTAAACTTGAACTTGATCATGCCTTTGTATTTTGCATGTCATTTTTCTTTTTCCTTCTAATAACAAAGTCATTTTGAAAGATAATTGAACTATTATAATGAAAAAGTAACAGTTGTCAAGAACTTAGCAAATGTTGAAAGAGGCATCCTGCAGAAATATTGAAAGTTCATCACTCAAACTAGTGGAAAGTCTCAGCGTTTTTGCAGAGGATAAAGTTATGCTGCATTTTGTTTCACGGTTAATTGTAAAATACAAAATTACATTGTGGAACATTAATTGCATTCGTTTTCTATGGCTGCATAACAAGTTACCACAAATTTAGGGGCTTAGAACAACAAATTTATGATCTTACAGTGTCTGTGGGCCAAAAGTCCAGTTTGGGCTGGACAGGGTTTTCTACTTTGAGTCACAAGGCTGAAATCAAAATGTCAGATGAGCTGCCTTCCTTTTTGAAGCTGGGGGTCGTCTTCCAAGTTCATTCCTATTGTTGGCAGAATTCAGTTCCTTGACCTGTGGGGCTGAGGCCCTTGTTCTGTGGGGGGTCAGCCCAGCGTCCAGCTCAGGTCCTAACAATCACCAACGGTACTTTTTCCCGTGGCCTCTCCTAATGCCCTCTTTTTTTTTTTTTTTTTTTTTTTGAGACGGAGTCTCACTCTGTCCCCCAGGCTGGAGTGCAGTGGCGCGATCTCAGCTCACTGCAAGCTCTGCCTCCCAGGTTGACGCCATTCTCCTGCCTCAGCCTCCCGAGTAGCTGGGACTACAGGCGCCCCCCACCACGCCCGGCTAATTTTTTGTATTTTTAGTAGAGACGGGTTTTCACCGTGGTCTTGATCTCCTGACCTCGTGATCCGCCCGCCTCGGCCTCCCAAAGTGCTGGGATTCCAGGCGTGAGCCCCCGCGCCGGGCCCTCGTGCCCTCTTAACGCTTCACAACTTTCTGGAGAGACCCAGGCCTTTTAGAAATCTGACTTGTGGCCAGGCTCAGTGGCTCACGCCTGTAATCTCAGCACTTTGGGAGGCTGAGGCGGATGGATCACGAGATCAAGAGATTGAGACCATCCTGGCCAACGTGGTGAAACTCCGTCTCTACTAAAAAAATACAAAAATTAGCCAGGCGTGGTGGCGTGCACATGTAGTCCCATCTACTCAGGAGGCTGAGGCAGGAGAATCGCTTGAACCCAGGAGGTGGAGGGTGCAGTGAGCCGAGATCGTCCCACTGCACTCCAGCCTGGGCGAGAGTGAGACTCCGTCTCAAAAAATAAATAAATAAATAAAATAATAATAATAAAATAAAATAAAATAAAATAAATCTGACTCGTTTAGATTTGGCCCACCGGGATACTCTCCATTTTGGTTGATCAAAAAGTCAGCAGATTAGTAACCCAATCATGGGAGTCAAATTCTATCACATGCACCCGTTCAGCCTGCACTTAGGAGGGAGTTACACAAAGCGTGCACACTAAGAGGCAGTGATCTTGGGAGCCACCTTAGAATCCTGCCTACCACACTGTTCCATTATGTTGATGGTTGAATTAACTATCACAGGCCAGCAAATCAAACGAGATACTAGTGAGGAAAGGATCACATGCCACTTCCTAGCTAAGGCATGCATTCACATGATCCCATCAGTCAAGTCTTACATTTCTTATACTTCACGATGACCATATCCTGGTACACACAGGTCATGTTAAGGGTCTGTGGGACCCCTTCTAATGTTTTCTACTTCTTCTTTTCTGTTTTATTTTATATCTTTTTTTAAAAAAATCTGGTTATGACTCACGAAATAGATTTCACAAAATGGATTTTATGATTCATGACAGGAAAAACAGTCTTAATGGAGACAGGTTTCAATTAGTAATCTGGAAACATTTTTCTTTACAGAAAAAACACTAAAATATATTTATGCAAAAAAGTTTTTTCTGAATAAATCAATATGGACTAACTTATAGATGCAAATGGGTACACACCTGGGTAATCTTCAAAATTTATTTAAAATTATTACAAGACAATCAGCAATATCACTACAGTCCTCAGGAGGGCAGCATCTGCTCTAGGTATATTTGAAACTTAAGTGTGCTCAGAAGTTTTCTAGTGACTAGGAATTCCGGTAAGTAAATTACTTAGAGTGTATTAATCTAAGCAAACATTGGTTTATGCTTGGCAATTGAGAATCAGTCCTGTCAAAACCGTAAGTGCTATGATTTTTTTTTGTCTGACCCAAGAGAATTAGTTGAATTCTTTTATTCCTTGCTTCTTTCTGCTTGCATTTTTCCTTTGTCCTGTCTGTCCCTCTCTGGCTTATAGTCTTGCATAGGTGGTCCAAGTAGGGCCCAATAACCATGGCGGCTGAGGACATGACAATCATAAATATTTTCTGCTAATTCAGAGTTGTTGTAAAGTCCCTCTCTTAATTTCCACACTATGTTGACTTCCTGACTTCCTGCTGCATATGCCAACTGGTGGCTCCCTCAGTGCCTCTTTTGTGAACAGACAGGACTCTCTTAACCAGTGCACAAGAGGAAGTGCTGCCCTGCAGATGACTCACCATGTTCTCTTATCTTCAAACTCTCAGGTGCTTGAGAGAGGCTTTTGCTGACCCACAAACACAACAAAATCAAGCTGTCTAATCTGATGTTCTTAGACAGTTAAGCCTTTCTAGGCTTAAATCTAAGTGTGACTATAGAAGGAAATATAGTATATTGAATCTGTTCTTCCCACCTCTGTTCTGGACCCACCATAGTCTCACCCTAAAATCATGGTCTGGGTTGACATCACTCTGTCACTAATCAACAGAAAATTGTCAGGAGGGTCCCACATACTCTAGTTAGACATAGAGCAAATTTCCTGCCCTTTGTTTTACTTACGTCCCTATTGTCACAGGTTATAATACTGGCCCTAAGTGTGTATTTGCTTCAAATAATTATATTTTGGGAGACATTGGGTTGACTGTATCATGTTCCTACACATTTTTTTTTTTGAGACGGAGTTTCACTCTTTTGCCCAGGCTGGAGTGCAGTGGCACGATCTCAGCTCACTGCAACTTCTGCCCCCCAAGGTTCAGGCGATTCTCATACCTCAGCCTCCCGAGTAGCTGGGATCATAGGCGCCCGCCACCACGCCTGGCCAATTTTTGTATTTCCAGTAGAAACGGGGTTTCATCATGTTGGCCAGGCTGGTCTCAAACTCCTGACCTCAGGCGATCCACCTGCCTTGGCCTCCCAAAGTGCTAGGATTACAGGCATGAGCCACTGCACCCGGCCATGTTTCTCCATTTTTTAAGGGCCTGAAGTCTGTTGAGTAGAGCTGCCTATGTGAATTTCATATTTTTTCTTTTTACCCATGTGCTACTTATAGAGTGTTGACACTTGATCTGCCTTCTCTTGCCTTTGGTCCTCTGCATTTGTTGCTTGCTCTGCTCAAAATGCTCTTCCCACAACCCTTTTCTTGTCTCCATTCCCTACTTCCAGAGTCACCTGATACCTCTTCGGGTATATCTTGGCTGTGACTACTATGTCTTATAGCACCTTGACATGGTAGATGCTGATAGATTTGTCTGTCTCCCTCAACAGACTGTGCCCCTTCAAGACCAGGGCTATGTCCTCTTTCTAGAATCTGTCATGGCAACTGACACCTAGTTGACATGCAACAAAACTTTGTGTATGAATTAAATCACAAGTAACTGCTGAGGCTGTTTTTGACCTTGAGTTGATCGACAAGGTACTTGATATAATAGATAAGCTGTCGGTCAACAATATAGGTCTAATATGGGACCAATATAGGTAGAAAGAGGCCAGTATGGTGGTGATGATAGACACATGTAGAATCTGAAGAGGTCTAGAGGGGTGTGGGTTGCAAATACAGCCCAATGCTTTGGTTCCGGGAGGGACAGGTGACAGGCCTTCAGCTTGGCGTGATTTTTTTCTGGTTTCTGGGACTACCAGGAAGGGACAATAGCCCTGTTGGCTACTTAAGTATGGGAGGAAGTGTGAACTCAGTAGAATGGCACTGGGAAACGAGAGAGAACATGCACTCTGTAGCATGGGCTTGACTTGAACCCTGAGTGAAATTTGAAGAGAAGGAGCCTTATATTCTGAAGGAAAGGAGGATTAACACACTGCCTGGTGGACAAAGACCCAAATATAAGTTTGCTAGAGCTCTTTACTCCTGGTTTGGGCTTTACTCCAAAATGCATGCTCCTTTTTTCCTTCTTCTTTTTTTTTTTTTTTTTTTTTTAAATCTCATTATAAAAACCCCAAATCCTCTTAGAAAGTTATTATAACCATTCAGCACCACACCCCTCCCTTCTCACACATGCTCTCAGGTCCCTTAACCTTAAGAGGCAACCCCAAACACTCATCTCCCCCACTGCTCAGGGACTGGCTTCCAGCAGCCCAGCTGGACCAAGCTCATTATCACTTCTTTCCCAGAAGTGACCCCTGCCAACAGGGTTGCTGTGCTTGAGTGCCTCAGCAACTCCAGAAGCAAGACTGTCATTTCAGTGCTTGAAAAGGAAATAGGCCTATGTGTAGAGAAAAGCAGTTTAGGATTTCACAGACCAGAAACATAGCATGGCAAGTTTCTATATTTTAAAATCCCAGAATCAACCATTTTAAATCACAGTTTGGAGATAACTTCAAAACCTCTCTTATTTCTAAATACCAGAAATGAGCACATTTTAGAACTTGGATAGCTTCTCTCCTGTGAATGCAGATATTCTCCCTTTGGTTATGGAATAGCAAACCCTTAGAGAATAAGAAAACTCAGATAGCTAACAGATGAAAGCTGAGTTGCTTTCCTGATATTATAGAGTATACTGCAGTTGATGAAAATACAAAGTTTTTGTAATTCAGAACAAGTGTTTGAGGAAGGTGGTTCATTTTGGGTGCGTAGGTACACATGAGCACAAGGGGTGAGTTGAGCGTTTCTCCTTTAAACATTTTTTTTAAATTGATAAGTGGACCCTAATCAAGCTGAAGAGCTTCTATAGAGAAAGAGAGCTATCAAAGATGTAAACAGACAACCTAAAGATTGGGAGAAAATATTCACAAACTATGCATCCAACTAAGGTCTAATATCCAGAATCTATAAGGAACTTAAACAAATCAGGAAGCAAAAACCAAGTAATCCCATTAAAAATTGGGCAAAGAACATGAACAGAGACTTCTCAAAAAAAGATGTGTAAGTGGTCAACAAACATGAAAAAGTGCTCATCATCGCTAGTCCTCAGAGAAAGGCAAATCGAAACCACGAGATACATCTCATGCCAGTAAGAATAGCTGTTATTTAAAAGTCACAAAATAATAGATGCTGGCCGAAGAGGCTGCAGAGAAAAGGGAATGCTTATAACACTGCTGGTGGGAATGTAAATTAGTTTAGCTGCTGTGGACAGTGATCTAGGGATTTCTCAAAATAAGAGTTGAACTACCATTTGACCCAGCAATCCCATTACTGGGTATATATCCAAAGGAAAATAAATTGCTCTACCAAAAGGACACATACACCCGTATGTTCATCACAGTGCTATTCACAATAGTGAAAACATGGAATCAACCCAAGTGCCCATCAATGGTGGACTGAAGAAAGAAAGCATATACACCGTAGAATACTATGCAGCCATAAAAAACGATAAAATCATGTCTTTCGTGAAACATGGTTGCAGCTAGACACCATTATTCTAAGTGAACTGATGCCGAAACAGAAAATAAAATATCGCATGGTCTTGCTTAAAAGTGGGAGTTTAACACTGGATACTCACGGACATAAAGATGGCAGCAAAGGACACTGAGGAGCATTAGAGGAGAAGGAGAGGGAGGAGGGCAAGGGCTGAAAAATCTACCTCTTGTGTACTGTGCTCATTACCAGGGTGATGGGTTCATTCATACCCCAAACCTTACCTTCATTCAATATACCCATGTTATAGACCGGCACATATACTCCCTGATCCTAAAACAAAAGTTGAAAAATAAAACAATAAAAATAATTTAAAAATTTTGTTTTTCATTAATATTCCCCAAAAGAAGAGAGTATCAAAATAAGTACCTAAAACTCAAAACGTATGTATGATGTATGAAAAGATACAAGAGGTATTTTTCATAATAGCAAAAAATAGGAAATAAACCAGATGAGAATCAAAATGATTCTCAAAATTATCAAAATAAATCAAATGAGAATCAAAAGGAATACGGGTAAAGAAACCACGGTACCTAGTGGAAGACCATGTGGTAATTAAACTGAATGAGCTAAGTTATGTGGAACAGCATAGAAAAATCTTGAAAACATAATTCTAAATGAAGAAAACAAGTGAAAAAGGATATGTTCAAAATGATAGCACTTATGCAAATGTTAATATTGAAACAAAATTAAAAAATCATATAAACTGTATGCAATTATAATACAACTGAAAATTCCAAGAAAACTAAACCTCAAATTTCAAATAATGATTTTTCAGAGAGTTGGGGGGAAGATGAGGGATTGGGCTTGTAGTTGCAACTATAATATCATCTTTGTTTTTAAAAATTCTGGAGTCAATAGAGAAAGATGTTATTAAAGTTTATTGAATTTTTTCAATAGTACACAGAAGTCTGTTTTATTATATTTTGTGTTTTTGGTGGTTTTGAGACATAAAAATAAAATGAAGGAGACGTAAATGTAAGCATCTAAAAATTATGTGTCACATAAGAGTGGTTGTCAAAAGATTCAGCTCATCCATTCTTAGCCTTTTCAAACAGAAACCCTATTTTATTAAATTGTGCCAACCAAAGCCATTCCTCTGTGAAATCATTGGAGGAAAGGAGAAGCTGCGGGATGGAGAAGAAATGCAAACAAATACAAGTCTTTGGCTACCAGGAGGTTTTTATTTTCTCCCAAATGGGAGCTCTTTGAAGGAAAGGATTGTCTTTGATCTTCTTGTACCAATCCAGTGAATCCAGCCAAGTCCTAGGAACACAAAGACAGCTAAAAATATCAATAACAAAACGTTGAGCTGTTCTTATGAACAGCTCAAAGCAGGTTCACATGGATTCCCTCCTGTTGCCTCACTGGGGTCCTGAGAATCCCATTCAGATCATGTTACCAGCGCCACTCTGCCTTATCGCAATGGTCTCATCCTTTTCAGTGTGGAAGCAGAAGTGCTTTGTTCTAAGAAAGATGACCTAGGAAATCCTGCTGAGATAGATGAGTCTGGATTGCATCAGGCTCATTACTGGATTGATAAACGTCGAGAACAATGACAGTGTGTTATCTGCTGGATTTTATTGAAAGGAGCTTGCATTCAATACTCCTGATTGTGACAAGAGCCTGAGCACATTTTCTCTCAGTGCCTACCATAACATTTCTGAGGGTTTGCACAGTGTCTGTCTATAAACTAGTGTTTTGAGGGTTCTCTGTGGGAAAGATGTAGTGAGAGTTATGCCAAGGTGATTCAGGAACACTAGAGGTTTTCCTTTCGTTCTTCTGTATATCTGTGCTCATGGGTCCAAGTTAGTCATCCTCTCTAGGTGAGAGAAGAGAAGTACACATGCTAAGCTCTGTTCCAAAAGGGTTGATCATTCATACCACAGGTTAGCTACTAAAGTAGAGAGCCAGAGAGCACCTGAATGTGCTGATTGTTTTTTCACTCTGCAGAGATCTTTCTGCCATTCACCTCCTATTTAGTAAATTAGGATAAGAAAGTAAATAACTATCATCTTATGATTCACAGCAAATAGTTTGATTGTTTCCAAAACATAAAGAAAAAGCCCTGGATATAACTAATTTTACAGCTTTCTCAGGTTGCTGAGTGGTGGTGAAGTGGATGTTTCATGCTAGGCCTAGCAATCTCAACAAAAAAACAATTCTAAAGAATACAGAGAAGAGAGGTTGATTAATGGACATATATACAGTTAGAAAAAGTAAGAAATAGTGTTGGACAGATCAGTAGCATGGCTATAGTTAACAATAATCTTTTGTACATTTCAAAAGAGCTAGAAGAGAATAATTCAAATGTTTTTAGCATAAAGAAAATATAAATATTTAAGGGGATGAATATCCTAATTACCTCAGTTTGATCTAATTACCTCAATTCCACATTATATGAATGTATCAAATTATCACATGTTCCCCCAAATATGTATATGTATTATATATCAATTAAAAAATTTAGATAACAGAAAATGGATCTTATAATTAGGAAAAATACAAAATAGCATTGTAAGTAGAAAAAAAAAGAATGCAGAGAAATTAAAGACATCAATCAACCTCTTTGTTGATTGTAGGTAGCAAATTATGACATGAGGAATTATCAGCAAATTACAGCCCATGGACCAAATCCAGCCCATTACCTGACTTTGTAAATAAAGTTTTAAGGCAACATAGCCACGCTCATCCATTCATATGTTGTCTACAGCTGAGAAGAGTAGTTGCAACAGAGACCATATAGACCACAAAGCCTAAAATATTTTCCATGTAGCTTTTTATAGAAAAAGTTTGCCAACCCCTGAAGTACACAATATAAGTTTTGAAACAAATGCTTTGACTATAAACATAAATTGATATTTAATCACTATTCTGTCTGGAAGCTAAGTGGAGCCTAATAGAAATGGATAGAACCCAAAGTCTCATCTCAATGATCATGTCAACTTTTTAGTCAGTACTTGATATCTCATTACCTAAAGTCCTGCATCTTATCAGCCTATTCTGTCAAATAGGTCATGATGAGCAGGCAAGAGTTTGCATAGAAAAGCTAAAGGGAAATACATGATAATGAATAAACAGATACTTTCTAGAAAAACCAGTGTCAATCTACCTGCTGGAGATGTTGCTCTTGGGCATATGTTATTCAGCTTCAGGGATTTCAGAATTTCAGCTGTCAGCTGAGTCTTACTTGGCTCCTTAGTCAATCCTGACCAACTCGGCTTCATTCCCTTTAACAGGTGGTTCCTGAAGTGATGCTAGAATTTGGTTGGCCTGAGGTCCTGATTGTTCTCTACTCTGCCTATGGGGATAAAGCCTCATCTAAAGCATGATCTACATACCTAGGACTGTGACCACTTTTTATTCCCTACCTGCTCTTATACCTGCTAATACCCTGTCCCAACTGTATACTTTTCCTCCCTTCCTTAGTCAAAGCTCTCCAGGACCATGATTCTACCATGTAAGGATTTGAGACAACTCAGACCTCTTAGTAGTTAAAGCAGCCTGGATCCTAGCTGGATTTACATTTGCGCTCAGACAAACTCATCAGCAGTTAAACCATCCTGGATCTGTTGTCAGACACTGTGCTTTAAGCTTCTGGCCATTCCAGCAAAACCCTACCTTGCAGCTGAGTTAGCCTCTCTGGCTCATTCTCTAAAATTCCATGCTTGCTTCTCTTTCTCTGACAGCTTATTGTTGAAGGCCGGGGAAGCCTTTCAAATAAAAACATAAGGATTTTGTCCACAGTCTTCCTAAGCTATGAAATATGAGCTTCAAATATTTGAAATAAACAGTGTAACTGAACAAGTCTGTTAAGAGATAAACCAGTCAAGCTAAGATATTTATCTAATGATTAAGCATCTTGCCTGTGAGCTCAGTTCCTCATGTGCATTTCAGACAGCTTTCTCAACTCCCTTCAGGGAACAGGAATTGGTATAAGAAGTCTGAATCCTACTATCATGGAGTAATGGGGGGACTAATAATTCCCTCCAGCAGTGACTCCTGTACTCACTGGAGCCTGTGGCCTTGAAATACCATTCCAGACCTCACAGGTGCTCACCAGAGTCCTGTGACACTGTCTTTGACTCAGGTAAGCACCTGTCACAGGGAATGCCCACTTACACTGCCCAATTCATTTATCAAAAACCAGCATTGATGCCCCATTATTACCCAGCATTATGTGAGGGTAGGGCCAATCCAGCAGCCACTACTTAGTCAGATGTCTGCATATAGTTACCTTACTTTTTGTTTAGATAACCCCAAGAGAAAGGTAACCATTCCCCAAAGTCCTCCGAGACCTAGTCATTTATAATGTCTGTAAAGATTCATCCTTCAAGGAAGATGCCTTCAAGAAGGCTAATTTTGTGGGTGGTCTTACTCTTCCCACTCTTGACCCTCTAACCCACACTGATCCTTCAACACATAAGTCAGATTATATTTCTTCCCTGATTAATTAATTTTTTAATTTTCCTTTTTTTTTTTTTTTTTTAAAGAGACAGGATCTTGCTTTGTCACCCAGGCTGGAGTACAGTGACACTACTATAGCTCACTGCAGCCTTGAACTCCTTGGCTCAAGTAATCCTCATGCCTCAACCTCCCTAGCAGCTGGACTATAGGCACTTACAATACCTGGCTAATTTTCTTTCTTTCTGTTTTGGGGGGCTAGAGGGTGTACAGATGGGGTCTTACTATGTTACCCAGGCCGGTCTCCAACTCCTGGCCTCAGGCAGTCTCCTGCCTTGACCTCCCAATGGGCTGGATCACAGCCTTGAGCCACTGTGCTGGGCCTCTTTCCTGATTAAAATGTCTTGTAACCATAGCAATTCTTAGGGCCCATGAGGCCCCATACAATCTGGCCTCTGCCTGCCTCTCCACACTCTTCACTCTCCCCATGTTTTTGCCACATTGGTGTGCATTTTGCATTCTGCATTTGCTCGTCCCTCTGCCTGGAATTCTCTTCCCCAAGGTCTTTGTGTGGCCAAGCTCAATCTTATCATCCACATCTTAGCACAAATGTTACCTCCTCAGAGAAATCTTTCTGACCATTCTAGTTAAACTAGGCACCCCAAGGCCCACTCACTCTCTACTCCACTACTCTGTTTATTGTTTTCATTAGTACTTATGACTCTATAGATTTATGTGTATTTATATTATTTATTTTATCTGTTCATCCATTCATTCATTTATTTATGTCTACATCCCAATGAGAATACTTCCAATGGAGGCAGAATTTCATTTGTCTTGTTCACTACTTTATTTTCAGAGAATAGTAGTATGCTGTCAATAAATATTGTTGGACAAAAGATTGAATGAATTAATGAAGCGGTGCCTAGTTTTCTCTACTTCTGCTTTCATCGCTCATTCATCTTTCAGAAAGTGTCTCATCTCTATTAGATCTTCAGGCACACACTGTCCATCAGAACTCATATTTCATATGTACTTTCCAGAAAACCCCTAAATTAATATTGAAAAGGGCCTGCCATGTCTTGATGGACAAATAGGAAACTCAATTGAACATCTGTACTATTATAGAATGCTAAAAAATTTGTTCCTCACAACATTCTCTGCTAAACGCTTATGTATTTCTACAAGTTTATGAAATTAAATAATGGAGATGAGCAGGCTATGAAAAGCTTAAAATGTACAAATTGAGGTTACATGTGCATTTCAGTGACATCACTTATGGATTTTCAGAAATTCATGCTCTTAACAGAAACTATTTTGATAGAAAATGGCAGCCAATATTTTGAAATGTTTCTAAGCCATGTTTGTAACTGATTTCAGTACAATTTGTCATGCAGGTTTATCAGCAAGGATTCAATCATAGAAGCAGAACCACACTGAGTAATAAAGGAGATTTATTATAGGGACTTACTTTCTGCAATTCCAGGAACTGGATAGGTTATTATGTAAGTTTGTTACTCCTAGTGCTGGTCTAAGTCAGTTGGGTGAGAAGTTGTAAAGCGAAGAAGGGCATGAAGCACAGGAGATCAAGAACAAACTGCAACCCATGAGGATAAATTAGAACCTGTGTTTATCTCTCATTGGGACTCATGGTGAGCTCTGACTGCTTCTAAGTTTCCTGCTTGGATGATGTGAGTGACTGCAAAAGAGCTGGTACCTGCACCGCTGAGAAGCTAAAGAAGATCTAGGAGGAGCTGGATGCTGAGGCCTGGATACTGCCCCATGCCAACAAGGTGACTCAGCTGATCTGGGACAATCTGCATGATGTGAACTACAACAGTACCTGACTCTCAACTGATCTTCCCAGTGTGAGCATGACTGCTGCTTTTCTTCTACCATATAAATCTCACACAAGTTCCTCTTGTGGTTAATTCTAACTTAAACCATGCAGGGAAGGATATTTTGGGAAGTATAGTTCCAGTTTAGCTGACTTTACACAACACTAAGTCATCAAAGTAGATGGCATATACTACTACAGTTTACAGTTTATACAGCCATAAATATATAAATTTCTTTGAAACTAATTGATTCTAGGAGTCAGTAGACTTGAGTACTAGTCTAAACTATCTCCAACCACAACTCTACCTTTAGAAAGTCTCTTAAATACCCTAACTTTAAGACATTACATTGATTAACTAAAGGCATTTAGATGATATCTTTAAGTGGCTTTTCAATGCCATCAGGTCCTGGCTGCAATATTTATCCTCTCATTTTAAAAAAATATTTAAACAAAAAGTGTAAAGAAAACTCAAACTCAACCTATTAGCATGATCTTTGATAAATACTTAAATCTATATGTTGGTTCTAAATCTCAGTTTGGAAATACTTATTTTAGAGATATACACTGAACTCTAGATAAAATGATGCAATGTGTGGAGGTTTGCTTCAAAATAAAAAGTTTTTCCCCCCAAGATAGTGGATTCAAGGCTTTTAGCATGACTCAGTCACTTGGAAACAACAAGATAGTGCATAAAGATCAATTCTGTGACCTTTAATTCAAGAAGGAAAATGAGAATCTACTGAAATTGTGAAGCACACCCCAGATCTCAGGGAGGAGAATGCAGGAAAACAGCCTCTGTGACAGTGCCTTGCTGATAAAAGTGAGTGAAGCCTCAGTACATGAGAGAGGCAGAGAGCCTCCCTTTGTGACTCACCTTTCCACTGGAGATTTAAGGAACTCAGGCGGAGGGAGAGCACTTTGTTTCTCCCAATCCTCGGATCTAGCTTGGGGAGAGGCTTGGAGCTGCTGTAGGGGAAAGACACAGGAAAAAGCTGCAGGCATTTTCCCAGCCCTGGGACCAAGAGTAGGACGCCACTTTTAATCCGGGTGCATACAAAGTCAGCCATTCTTTAGCAACCCAACAGGGTAGCCATGTGGGCATTTTAGTCTCAGTTCGGGGATGGGAGCACTTTCTCTGGAGTGTAGTAGGAGCCTCCATAGCCAGAACTGTGGAAAGCTCCTTAGCAGTAGGTGCTAGAATTGTGCTTTCCCCTGTTGCAAGCTTGGGGTGGGAGGAGAGCTGCCACAGCTGCAGTTTCTCCTGGGTGATGAGACTTATAGCTGGGGCCAGCTTGATGACCTGGAACTGGTCTATGTGTGTCATTGGTGGGTGCCCCAGCCTGCTATCCTGAGATCACGGTGCAGTAGGGCTCTCTCTGTACCACCCCCATGCAGAAATTCAGGTATTTGGAGCAACAACTTGCCTGAATCAACAGCCTGAGCCACCTCACCCTTCATGGATATAGATCATGGTGCAGTAGGGCCCTCTCCACTCCATGCCCAGGCAGATCTACAGGTACTTAGAGCACTCCCTTACCTGGATCAGCAGCCTGAGACACCCTGTCCTTCCTGTGCAGAGATCTTGGTGCAGGTGTGACCTCTCTGCTGTATGCTCTAGCAGATCTCCAGACATCTCAAGGACTCACTCTCCCGTGGCACTCTGAGCCATCACACCTTCCCTGTGCAGAGACTGTGGTGCAAGGAAGACCTCTCTGCTACATGACCAGGCAGATCTCCAGGCATTCTGAGTTCCAGCTTCCTTGAAACAACAGCCTGAGCTGCCACACCCTTTCTGTGCAGAGATCTTGCAGCAGGGGGGCCCTCTTTACTCCAAACCCAGGCAGATCTCCAGGTATCTGGAACACTCACTCACTTGGATTAAGAATTTAGGCTGCCCTCCATCCCAGTCCAGATGGGGCACTGGGGCCAACTAAGTTTCCCATCTCCACACCTAGACAAACCGCTAGTGCTTGGTGGCTGCCCACTGGATTCTCCTTTGGCACTGGTGCTTGTGCCTGCCATTGGAGGACCTGCAGGCAGACCTGCCCAGTGTGACCCTGCCCATCTGATTCCCTGCCAGCCTGGGGCTGAGCAGGGAGCTCAGAGCACTGTGCACTCCATGAATCAGCCCATTGCCTGAGGCAACAGAGAGCTTCTGCCAGTAAACAAGGATCAATTAATATACAGAGCCACACTGGCTGCAGCTGGCTCTTACCCATAAGCACCATCAATTGGCTTGTAGGTTGAACTGGACAGCCCAATATAAAAGCCTGCTGACAAAAGTGCGTAGGGCTATAGAAGCAAAGCCAAAAGACCCCACCCAGGATTCTCTACCGTCACTTTCCCTAGGCAGGGGGGATAGGGAAAGGGAAATAAAAAACCCCAGTAATATTATAGGGAAACAAATAAAAAGAAAAACAATCCACTTGCATGAAAATAATTACAAAAATTATAAGTGCCAGCACCTTCAGATGAGAAGGAACCAGTGCAAGAATTCTGGCACCATGAAAAATCTGAATGTGGTGACACCACCAAACGATCATACTAGCTCTTCAGCAATGGTCCCTAACCAGACTGGAAACTCAGCAATGACAGATAAAGAATTCGAAACATGGATTGAAAAGAAGCTCAATGAGATTCAAGAGAAAGTTGAAAATTAACGCAAAGAAACTTCTAAAGCAATCCAGGAAAAGAAGGAAGAGAGAAGCATTTTAAAAATAAATAAATCAGAGCTTCTTGAATTGAAAAACTCACTTAACGAATTTCAAGGCTGGGCGTGGTGGCTCACGCCAATAGTCACAGCACTTTGGGAGGCCGAGGTGGGTGGATCACTTGAGGTCAGGAGTTTGAGACCAGCCTGGCCAACATGGTGAAACCCCATCTCTACTAAAAATACAAAATTTAGCCGGGCATGGTGGCACATGCCTGTAGTCCCAGCTACTTGGGAGGCTGAGGCAGGAGAATCACTTGAACCTGTGGAGGTTGCAGTGAGCTGAGATTGTGCCACTACACTCTAGCCTGAGTGACGAGTGAAACTCTGACTGAAAAAAAAAAAGAATTTCAAAATACAATGCAAAGCTTTATCAATAGATTGGAGTAAGCAGAAGAAAGAATTTTAGAGCTTGATGATTGGTCTTTCAAATTAACCCAGCCAGACAAAAATTAAGAAAAGAGAATTTTAAAAAATGAACAAAGCCTTTGAGAAATATAGGGTTATGTTAAGTGACCAAAACTATGAATTATGGACAGTCCTGAAAGAGAAAAAAAGAGAAAAAGTAAACAACCTGCAAAATAAATTTGAGGGAATAATTCCAGAAAATTTTCCTAATTCTGCTAGACAAGGTTAGACCTAGCACCATGTCTGATCTGGAGACATAGACATCTAGATACAAGAAATCCAGAGAACAACTGCAAGATACTATACAAAATGAATATCACCATGGCATATATCACCAGACTGTCCAAGGTCAATGCTAAAGAAAAAATCTTAAAGGTAGTATCAAGAAAGCAGTCAGATTACATACAAAGAGAACCCCCATTAGGCTATCAGCAGACTTCTTGGCAGAAAGGTAATAATCCAGGAGAGAGTGGGGGTTTATTTTCAGTATTCTTAAAGAAAGGAAATTCCAACCAAGAATTTTATATCCTGCTAAACTAAGCTTAATGAGCTAAGAGTAAATAAAATCTTTTCCAGACAAACAAATGCTAAGGGAATTCCTTACCACTAGACTGGCCTTTCAAGAGATCCTTAGGAGAACTCTAAACATGGAAATGAAAGAACAATACCGGCTGCTACAAAAAAAGACAAACAAACAAACAAACAAACAAACAGAAAAACCACTTAAGTACATAGCTTGTAGACTCTGTAAAGCAACCACACAATAGTAACTACAAAGCAACCAGCTAATAACTTCATTAGAGGATCAAAACCTCATATTATATCAATATTAATATTAAAAGCAAATGGTCTAAATGCCATTTAGACTTAAAACACACAGAGTGGCAAGATTGATTTAAAAAAATTAAGAAAAAAAAACAAGACCTATTTGTCTGTTGTTTTCAAGAAACCCTATCTCACACATAATGACACCTATAGGCTTAAAGAAAAGGGTTGGAGAAAGATCATGCAAACAGAAAACAAAAAAGAGCAGAGGTCACTATTCTTATATCAGATCAAACAGACTTTAAACCAACAGCAGTGAGAACATACAAAGAAGGGGATAACATAATGATAAAGCATTTAATTCAATAAGAAGACCTAACTATCCTAAATATATATGTCTCCAACATTTGAGCACACAGATTCATAAACAGGTACTCTAGGCCTATGAAAAGACTTACATAGCCAAACAGTAATAGTGGGGGACTTCAACACCCCCACCCCCCGCTGGCATTAGATGGATCATTGAGGCAGAAAATAAACAAAAACATTATAGACTTAAGTTTAACCCTTGACCAACTGGATCCAATAGACATCTACAGAATATTCCACTTATCTACTATAGAATATACATTCTTCTTATCTGTACATGGAACATACTCCAAGATTAATCACATACTTGGTCATAAAGTAAGTCTCAATAAATTCAAAATAATTGAAATCAAACCAACTATACTCTCAGACTGCAGTGGACTAAAAATAGAAATCAATACCAAGATCCCTCAAAACCACATGATTACATGGAAAATTGAACAACTTGCTGCTGCATGACTTTTGGGTAAACAACAAATTAAGGGAGAAATAAAAAATTATTTGAAATAAATGAAAACAGAGGAATAATATACCCAAATCTCTGGAAAGTGGCAAAAACATTGTTAAGAGTGGTGTTTATGGTGCTAACACTTACCTCGAAATGTTAGAAAGATCTCAAATCAATAATCAACATCACACCTAGATGAACTAGAAAAACATGAACAAACTGACTTCAAAGCTAGCAGAAGAAAAGGAATAATTAAAATGAGAGAAGGACTGAATGACACTGAGACCAAAATATCTATATAAGTAATCAACCAAGCCAAAAGTTGGTTGTTTTTTTCTGAAAGGATAAAGAAAATCAATAGACTACTCACTAGATTAACAAAGATAGAAGATACAAATAAGCAAAATCAGAAATGATAAAGATGATATTACAAATAATCCCACAGAAATACAAAAGATCCTTAGAGAACCTTATGAAGAACTTTGATGCACACGAACTAGAAAATCTCGAGGAAATGGATAAATTCCTGGAAGCACAAAATCTTCTAAGAATGAGTCAGGAAGAAATGGAAACCCTGAACAGACCAGTACTGAGTTCTGAAATTGAATTAGTAATAAAAAACCTACCAACCAAAACCCAAACAACAAAACCCCAGACTAGATGGATTCAGTCAGTTTCTACCAGACATACAAAGAACTAGTGTCAATTCTACTGAAACTTTTCCAAAATATCAAGGAGGAGGGACTCCTCCCCGACTCATTCTATGAAGCCAGTATTGCCTTGGTACTAAAACCTGGCAAAGACAAAATAAAAAAAGGAAACTACAGGTCAATATCCCTGGTGAACTTAGAGGCAAAAATCCTCAACAAAATACTAGCAAATCCAGCAGCACATCACCAAGTTAATTCACCATGATGAATTAGGCTTCATTCCTGGGATTCAAGGTTGGTTCAATATAGGCAAATCAATAAAGGTGATTCACCACATAAACAAAGTTAATGACAAAAACCATATGATCATCTCAATAGATGCAGAAAAAAGCTTTTGATAAAATCCAACATGTCTCCATGATTAAGAAAAACCCTCAAGAAACTAGGCATAGAAGGAACATGTTTCAAAGTAGTAAGAGTTATCTATGACAGTCCCACAGCCAACATCATACTGAATGGGCAATATCTGAAATAATTCACCTTGAGAACTGGAACAAGACAAGGATGTTCACTCTCACCACTACTATTCAATACAGTATTGGAAGTCCTAGCCAAAGTAATCAGGGCAAGAGGAAGAAATAAAAAGCATCCAGATAGGAAAAGAAGAAGTTAAAGTGTCTCTTATTCACTAGCAATTTGATTCTATACCTAGAAAACCCTAAAGACTCCACCAAAAGACTCCTGGAACTGACAAATAACTTCAGTAAAGTTTCAGAATACAAAATTAGCAGCATTTCTATACACCAATAATGTTCAAGCTGAGATGCAAATCAGGAACATTATCCAATTTACAATGGCTGCAAAAAGAAAAAACAACCTAGAAATACATCTAATCAAGGAGGTGACAGATCTCTACAAGAATTATAAAACACTGCTGAAAGAAATCATAGATGACACAAGCAAATGGAGAAAAATTCCATGCTCATGGATTGGAAGAATTAATATTGTTAAAATGGCCATACTGCCCAAAGCAATCTACAGATTCAGTGCTATTCCTATCAAGCTACAAACTTCATTTTTTCACCAATGAAAAACTAAAAAAAAAAAAACTAAAAAAACTCTTCTAAAGTTTACATATATTATATATATGTATTTTATATATATACACATATATATACACATATGTGTATATATATATAGAGAGAGAGAGTGAGAGAGAGAGAGAGAAGAGAGAGAGCCTGAATAGCCAAAGCAATTCTAAGGAAAAAGAACAAAGCCAGAGGCATCACATTACACAACTTCAAACTATACTGTAGGGCTGCAGTAACCAAAACAGCTTGGTACTGGTATAAAAACAGGCACACAGACCAATAGAACAGACTAGAGAACCCACAAATAAAGTCACACATCTACCCATCTGATCTTTGACAGAGGTGACAAAAATAAGCAATGGGAAAGCACTCCCTATTTAATAAATGGTGCTGGGATAGCTGGGTATGCAGAAGAATGAAACTGGACCCCTACATTTCACCATATACAAAAATTAACTCAAAATGAATTAAAGACTTAAATGCAAGACCTCAAATTATATAAATCCTAGAATAAAACCTCAGAAACAGTATTTGGGACATAAGTCTTAGGAAAGAATTTATGACTAGGTCCTCAAATGCAATTGCAACAACGTTAAAAAAGACTGGCACATGGGACCTAATTAAACTAAAGAGCTTCTGCATAGCTAAAGAAACTATTATATCAAGAGAGTAAATAGACAACCTACAGAATGGGAGAAAATACTTGAACACCTATGTATTTGAGAAAGGTCTGATATCCAGAATCTATAAAGAACTTAAACAACTCATCAAACAAAAGACAACCCCATGAAAAAATGGGCCAAATACATGAACAGACACTTCTCAAAAGAAGACATATAAGCAGCCAACAAACATAAGAAAAATGTTCAACATTACTAATCATTAGAGAAATGCAAATCAAAACCACAATGAGATACAATCTCACACCAGTCAGAATGGCTATTATTAAAATGTCAAAAGTAACAGATACAGGCTAGGCTGTGAAGAAAAAGGAATGCATATATATTGCTGGTGAGAATGTAAATTAGTTCAGCCACTGTGAAAAGCAGTTTGGAGATTTTTCAAAGAACTTAGAACTACCATTCGATAGTAGCAATCTCATTACTGGGTATATATCCAAAAGAAAATTAATTATTTTACCAAAAAGACACATGCACGAATTATGTTCATTGCAGCACTATTCACAATAGCAAAGACATGCAATGATCCTGGGTGCCCATCAATGATGGACTGGATAAAGAAAATCTGGTACATATAAACCATGGAATACTACACAGCCATTGAAATGAATAAAATCATGTCTCTTGCAGCAACATGGATGCAGATGAAGGCCATCATACTAGGTGAATTAATGCAAGAACAGAAACCAAATACTGCATGTTGTCACATATAAGTGGGAGCTAAACATCAGGTAATCGTGGACATAAATATGGCAACAATAGATACGGGGGACTACTAGAGGTTGGAAGGAGGGAGGAGAATAGGGGCTGAAAAATTAACTATTGGGTACTATGCCCCATACCTGGGTGATGGGATCAGTCATACCCCAAATCTCAGCATCACCCAATATACCCAGTAAACAAACCTGCATCTTTCCCCTCTGAATCTAAAACGAAAGTTTAAGTTATAAAAAAAATTCATATATACTTCGGCAAGACTAATTATTAACATTTTGCTGTGCTTGCTTTCCCTTGTTCTCTATATCTATCTATGCATCTCTTATCTTTCCTTCTCTCTTTAGCTGGATATCACTCTCTGCCTCTCTTTCTCTCTTTACATAGAGCGATTTGATTGTTTGCCGAGCAATTTGAAAGTAATGTACAGATATAATGACACTTGCTGTATGCATATTTCTACCATCAGAGATTTGACTACATAAGCACAATACTATCATCACCCCTACAATAATTTCTATTTACTTAATAATATTGAAAGTTCTCTTGTGCCCTCTTTGAGGCGTAACGTAGGTACTGGTGTTTTGATTTCCGTTACTCTAGATTAGTTTTTGTCTATTCATATAAATGAAATTATGTGTATATATATTATTTTGTCTTTGTCTTCTTTCATTTAATATAATGTTTTTGAAATTTATCCATATTGCTGTATATATGTATAATTTTATTAGAAACTACTGGACAGTTTTACACAGCAGTTGTTCCATCAGCAATGAACTTCATTCAGTTCACATCTTTACCAATATTTAGAGGGGACATTCATGTTTGTAGCCCAGAGAGACCATAGAAAAGTTTATCTACCTTGAAGCCTCTATACTGTGAGAAATCTCTGGCTACACGGAGAAGCCATGTAGCTTCTCTATTCTCTAGTCTGTAGATGTTCTGTTCAATGATCCCAATGAACTGAGCCTGTGGTCATCTAAGCCCAGGTGCCAAACATGTCAGTGAAGATGCCACTCAACAATTCCAGTCACAGTCATTGGGTTACCTCAGCTGTTGCAGCCTTCCCAGCTGAAGACCAGACATTGTGGAGGGGAGACATGTCATCCCCATGTGCTCTGTCTGAATTCCTGAGCCACAGAGTCCATGAGTTTAATAAAACTAAAACACTAAAACATTCAATATGCAAAATACAATTCAATCCCCCTGTTTCCAGAGAAGTTCACTGTTGCCCCCAGCAGATACTTTCTGGTCCACCTTCACCAGAGAATAAACCTCCTGTTTTGTGTCTGTACTGGAGGGGATAGTCACCCAGCTGTAAGGGCAGATGAGTGGCTTTGGAAGTCTGCTTCTTATAAAGATTTGAATGAGTTCTGTTGTATCAGCCCCAGTCCATATCTGAGCTGAGGTGGGAACTGATGTCAGGCAGGTAGGACACTGTTTTATGGACTCCATTAAATCAGTTGTAACTCCTCTTTGATTGGAATTTCCATCTTCCAAAATGCTACTGACATATACTGTTTCCTTTAGTCTCATCTACAATTCTTTTTGTTCTTATTAATTTGTATCATTTTTATCCTTCATTCTAAATTTTAGAGCTTGAGGAGTGCTAGAGATAAATGCATTTGTTTAATCCAGCCCCTTTAGCTTGAAATCCCTGCTTGAGTGTGTCAAACCAGTTTATTTATCCCCTTGTTTTCATAGAACTCATTTCAGGTGTCTTACATGGATCTATGATGTTTCCTTTCTTCCTCATATATTAATTGGCAATATATCTCAATCCATGCCCCCCTGGACTTACAAGATCTGTCAGGCTCTTCTGCTGAAACAGATTCCTACTTTTAGAATCTTTTGATCAGCCCTGTGTCTCCTGACACGGGTATTGCTTTATTGAATATAATTATTATTCTAGCTTAACCAAATCACTCAGAATAATTATTACCATCAAAAGCACCCAAACACACTGGGGAAGAGTGCACTTATCTGTGTTTAAAAACAGAACCCAAACTGTGCCTACTTTCTGGAAGATTACAATGCCAAATCTTCTTTAAACAACAGATCAGCAACAGTGATTTCAGCTGTTTTCATTCGCGGATCCAGAGAAAGAGGATTTTCTTCTTCTTACGGAGGTCAAAAGTTCCTTTGGATCATTTTGTAAGTAGGGAGCAAAGCATATTTGGAAGAGTGAAAGGCATCCAGAGGTGATGATCACAGCCCTTCTGTTCACTTTACAGAAATTCGGTGAACAGAGAAGGCCAGGAAAAGTGGGAGTCAGGGCATTGGTAGGGACTTTGGGAAGTTTAGCAGGGTCCAGGGGAATAGGGCTTCAACCTCCTACCTTTACTTAGGTCTGCAAGCTCTGAACATAATCCAAATTATCTTGAGTAGGAACTGTGACTCTGTGCCAATGTGCAAAGCTGCACTCAAAATGTATACTTTAAAACCTCTGCTCTGATTTAGACAGCCGTCTTCACTACAGAGAGAGTGATTTTGACTTAGGATTAAGGTCAAATACTTAAAGAGAGTCCCCAAGTTCTGTGGACCCTCATTTTTGCCCATTTACTCCTTTTGCAAGATCAGAAATAAGGCCTTGTATAATAACACTTGCTCTTTTTCTTCCCTCTCTTTTTGTTTCTGCCTCCTTCTATGCTTCTCCTCTGTATTATGCAATATTCATTGAATTTCTGGTATTAGAACTTTTTTTAAAGGTGATAAGACACAGTTCTCATCTTCAAGACACTTATAGTCAATGCAATAACTTTTAACATTGAGATTGTTGTTCAGTTAAGAAGAGGAGGGATATTTCAAAAAGAACATAATTTTCATTTTTCATTTTCCTTTTTATTTAAAATCACATTCTCTATTCTCTAGTCTGCTTTGTCTTTGAGCAGAAACATTATCATCATCCAAATTCATCATTTTTTATAACTCACATACCACCCACACTGCTAAACTCCCTTTTTTTTTTCCTCACAGAGGGATGTGTCATCTTTAGTTTGGGTTTGTTAGCCTTTAATTAGGAAGTCTGCATAAACCCGCACAACCTTTGCCTTGAAATACAACTGACTGCAAATGAACTCATCTGTTTT
Source organism: Homo sapiens (assembly GCF_000001405.40). NCBI lineage: Eukaryota > Metazoa > Chordata > Mammalia > Primates > Hominidae > Homo > Homo sapiens. The sequence goes on from NC_000013.11 coordinate 77,800,439, forward strand.
GTGTTTCTATATACGTGATTCATGGGGTTAGAGTTGGTTTCTTCTATTATCTTAATTGAATCCATCTTCTACATGTGAATGTTGTTAAAGGAAATGTGAATTGTGCAAGCGTAGGCAAAGACCTTGGGTTTGAGACCTCTTTTTATTATTAATTGGCTGGACAGCCCATGATACTCAGGCATGTTTTTGCCTCAGTTTCCCAGTCCCGGGAATTCCTCTAGAACATTGGCTCTGTTTATTTTATAGATGTTGTAAATAAGAAAAGAGCCACATAAAAAAGGGCATGTAATGTTACCATTATTGCTTAAAACACTTTAAGATTGTGGAATATCACAAAATATGACTTCCCATTGCCATGATACTGACAAAAACAAGCAATGTTTTATATTTCTTTAGTGAACTTCACTGTCTGTTTTGGATTTATTAGTCAGTTACATGATTTCATTTTTACTCTGGAAAGGGGAAGGTTATATTGTTCTGATGAGATAACAAGACTTAAATGAATTCAACTTGTGAAGGTAACTTCCTTTGGCTTATAACTCCCTTTCGGGGCCTTTTCACACTATGCCTTGCTCCTATATCCGTATATTGTTTTCTATCTGCTTAAGGGGAAAGTAACTTTTAAAAGTCTGACAGTAAGGTTAAGTTTTTCTGCTTGTTCAAACCAACAATAAAAAAGATAAAGTTCTATAAATTTACAGGAGATGAAAATAAGGGGCAACATTTATTCTTCTACATTAAGATTTTTTTTTCTTTTAAATCTACTTAGTGATGTTTCTTGTCCTTTTTCCACAAAACCTTATTATAACAGGTTTACATATACATGTTTAAGAGCTAAATCTAAGTATACTTCTTTAGAGATGCATTACGTGCTATTTTCTTTAAGCGAATGGAACTGTTAAAGAGAGAACTCTGTAAATAAGTGTTAGGAACATGCTATTAAAGGATGTTTCTTAAAAATAAAATAAAATAAATCTATTTAGTTCATAGCTATCAGCTATTATTCCACCTTAAAAGGAAAATCTGTCTTCATAAAATAGAAAGCTATGATTTCTTAATTTTATAAAATTGAAGGTCACTATAATGCCTTAAGAATATTATTTGATATACCAAAAATCTGATTTGCACATAGGCTTTCAAGAAATTACCTAAAATCATACATATCATTCTCCACAAAGCAGATAGTCATCTTTTCTTAAGACTCTGTGTAGCTGTCTTATGTTTAGAGTAGAATCCAAACCACTTATCATAACATATAAGGGCCAATGTCGTTTGGTCTGGGCCACTTCTGTGATCTTCTCTCTCACCAGTTTCCTCTTGCTATCTATATTCTCCTACACTAACTCATTGATTCATCTATTCCCTTGACAAATACTTTTTGGGGACTTAATAGGTATCAGGCACTGTTCTGTACACTGTAAATACCACTAGAAGCAAAGGCAGCAAAGTGCTTGACCTTGCGGAGCTTACATCCTACTGGAGCACAGGTAATAAACTAAACAATATGTAATACATTAGTGATAGATGCAGTGAACCCTCATACAGCATGCAGTGCAGGGGAAAGATGAAGGGAAATATCTTTGAAAGGTGTGGATGAAATGAGAAGA